>NC_000024.10:7845274-8145684 GCF_000001405.40 Homo sapiens
CTGGACACAGGAAGGGAAACATCACAACTGGGGCCTGTTGTGGGATGAGGGGAAGGGGGAGGGATAGCATTAGGAGATATACCTAATGTAAATGATGAGTTATTGGGTGCAGCAGACCAAAATTGCACATGTATACATACGTACCAAACCTGCACGTTGTGCACAAGTACCCTAGAACTTAAAATATAACAATAAATAAATAATAAAAATAAAAATAAAAATCACAAAATTCATACTTCAAACAAACACTAGTCTTACTGAGTTTTACTACTTGCAGAAGGTGGGTTGGCATAGAACATGATGGACCATAGCCACTTTTTATATATCACCCAATTGCCCATAATAAACCCAGAATTTAAGGCTGATCCTGTCAGTTCCTAAGAAGACAATCTTGACACGCACACAATTTTCCATTAAGATTGTTTCCCACTTCTACCTTCTAGTAATGTCTGTCAGCCCTACACTTCTGAGAATCCAGGACAGCAGGGCACAAGTAAAATCTCCTTGAATTATAACAAATGTTTGGTTTGTTCTTCCATATAACACAGCTTTTCTATCCTCAGAAACAATAAGTTGAAAATGTGTTGTGTCAAGATATAGAATCAAGTCTGGGAATGGTGGCTCATGCCTGTAATGCCAGCATTTTGTGAGGTCAAGGCAGGAAGATCACAAGGTCAATATATCCAAAACATGCTGACTCACATGGTAAAACCCCATCTCTACTAAACATACAAAAATGTAGTCAGGCATGAAAACCCCTTCCTGTAGTCCCAGCTACTTGGGAGGCTGACCCAGGGGAGTCACTTGAACCCAGGAGGTGGAGGTTTCAGTGAGCCAAGATCATGCCATTGTGCTCCAGCCTGGGTGACATAGTGAGATTCTATATCAAAAAGTAAGTAAATAAATAAATCTAGAATCAAGTCTACATGAAAAGGATTGATAATTCCGTCTAAGCCAGAATTTAGAGAAGGAAGACAAAAACTGTACTTTGTTAATCAAAATGAATAGAATTCTGACCATGCATGTGGTAAATAATATTAACATGTGTCAGCCATTTCAAGTTTGACTGGATAGACTTGTGCACTACCTCTCTCCATAGATGTTTAAATGTAGAAACATAATCTGAAAATTTTAGGATGATTTCATTTAGTTTTGCTAAAATGTCCATCTCTTAATCTTGTTTCAACTTTGAGATGTGGTCTTGCAGCATTGGTACAATTATGCTCTCTTCATATGCAAAATTAATGTCATTTTTTACTATAGATATTTTAAATGTTTCACTTGAGACCACAGTCTAATTTTAAAAAGAATACTTATTTATAATTATGTAGCTTCCTTTACATAGTTAGTATTATCTTTGTTTACTTCATGTACATGTCAAAAAAACCTCATGACTTATTAAGAATTCTATTGTTTACTTGAATATATTGGGCCAATAAAATTAATAAACTCAATTATGTCATTTTTATAGAGTAAAATAGACAACAACTAAACAAATATTGGCTTATTGGATTAAATAGAATTCTATAATTGAAAAATGTAAAATGTACAAAATAAATAACATATACACACTATAAAATTACTCACATGTGAAAATTATTTTCTGAAAAGCATTAAATTTTATCTAAGTCACTTTCATAATTTCTGAGGGGAGTGTAGAAAGAATGCCTGTTTGTTTGTTTGTTTGTTTGTTTGTTTGTTTGTTTGTTTTTTGAGATGAAGTTTCACTTCATTGCCCAGGCTGGAGTGCAATGGCACCATCTTGGATCACTTTAATGTTTGTCCCCTGAGTTAAAGTGATTCTCCATTACTCAGCCCCCTGAGTAGCTGGGATTACAGGAGCCCAACATCATGGCCAGATAATTTTTGTAATTTTAGTAGAGACAACGTTTCACCATGTTGGCCAGGCTGGTCTCAAACTCCTGATCTCTGGAGATCTACCTGGCTTGGCTGCCCAAAGTGCTGGAATTTCAGGCATGAGCCACCAAGTCCAGCCCAAAGAGTGTTTTATGAAATTAGATGAAAAAATTATATATTATATTTAGGGTGAGCAACAGGCAAACATACAAAAAAAGAGAAAAATTTGCAGAAGATTATTCTAAGCCACTAGCAATAACACTTTACATCATGGAGTTTAATACAAAGCAGAGAAAATAGATTTGCTTTGAAAATCTTTGAAGTTTCTGGTTTGTTGGTAAGATATGAACACTTGTAAAATTATCTGTTTTATTCTAATATTTTTCTTTTCTTCTCAATGTAAGCAATGATAAACAAATATGATTATTTTCTATCAATTTATTACATGCCTAAAGTTTATTTTACAGTAATATGCTTCTTATATTTAAATTCATGTAAATCAAAACTAAAGTTCTGTATGTGTTTATCAGAGCAGAGATGTCATATATTTAATAGAACAAAAGTAGGATAAAAGTTGTAAATAGTTGTTTAGTATTCAGAAACATATAGCTCCATTATACTAATTTATATCTTCATTACCACCATCATAATAAGCTGTAGTTACAAAGAAAACAAAAATATAAGTTTTAAGAAATATACTTTCCAAATTATTTTAAGTTAAAAAACACTGACAACACAAAAACATTACTAGAGATGTTATTCCCCTGTCCCCAAGTAGCATATTGTTACCATCTGTTACCTATAGCCTTGGTTAATATGGGATAACTTAACATCGGTGGCAAGATACACATTCAATGTACAATAGCTTTAACATGATAACAACAATATTGGTTTATTAAAACAAATAGAGTCCACACATTGTCATTAAAAAGGCATTTTAGAATTCACTTTATTTTGATTACCTTAATTTGCAAATGGTAAATCAATTTCCAACTAAAAATCAAATTGTTTCTTTTACTATGCAGAATGTTGCCCTTACCACACTCTTATCATACTGTCATTTATGATACCCAATTAAACCATCCACTAAGTTGCCTCTGCACATATAAATTCTTCAAGTATATTAGATTTGGTTTTCCTCATCTTCCATGGAAAAGTATATAAATCTGTCCTTCTAATATAGAAGAATCTCTCATAACTCTGGTGCAGCAACTATTGACCATGTTCTTTCACATACATTCCAGAAATAAAGATATAACATCAAAGTAAGAGATAAATTACATCAATATTTGTTTTTGAAAATACTTATTATTTTCAAAAAATATTAAATTATTTTAATATAAATATAGATTCCCTTTAGGGGAAAGTGATCTAGATTGCTGACTAGAAAGAGGCAGCTAGACTGCGGAGTTCCCATAGACAGGAATGCAAGGTGTGCATAAATACATAACTTTCAGTGGAAACTTCCAGTTATTTCCATCAGGACTAATCAAAGAAGCAACTTAACATAAGAAGAATGGAGTAAAGCAAGACAGGACACTGGGACTCTTGAAAACAACATGGAGGCAGGGAAACTGTCACACCCAGTAAGGCAGAATGTGAATGTGAGATCCTGGGAACCCATGATTCTTCCACAGATCTTTGCAACCCTCTGGTGAGGTGATCCCCTCATAAACCCACTTCACCAAAGCCTTCTGTATAGGACACATAGCTACATGGAGTCTCAGCAGAGCAGCCGCTCAGGATTGTGCAGTGATTCAAAAGCCTTAGATAGATATGTTTCTAGGCTTCCCAGAAAAAGTAGCTGCAATTCCAGAAAAGAAGGATGCTACAACCCTGTACATACTCATAGGAAAAAGGCAGAATCCAGGGGGCTTAGCAGTGATGGTCTGTAGGAAACATTTTCTCAGTGCCTCACAGATGTACTGGCTTTGAATTCCAGCCAATGATTGGTAGAAGCACTGCACCTCCCTGGGATCAAGCAATCAGAAAAAGGAGTTGGCCACAATCTTTGCTGCTTGATAAACTTAGCCATTCCAGCCTTCAGACTTCGAGGAGCCCAAGCTTACTAGAAGCACAAAGGATCTCTTAGCACAGTACAGGTGCTCTAAAAAGACATGGCCAGACTGCCTGTTAAAGCAGGTCCCCAATCTCCTTCTTCCTCACTGAAAAGTACTTCCCAATGAGTATCTCCAGCTAACATCACTGGCCCTGTTTCGTAGATGGAATTTTGAAATCTTTTTTGGCTATAGTTCCTAGAGCAAAGAGTGAGCTGCCATTTTTTCCTGTTTGTGTGACTAAGCTGTTCCTGCCTCCTGGCTTTGGAGGATCCAAATAAACTGTGGATGGAAGTGGTACCTCTGCAAAGCAGAGCTGTTCTACAAAAATGTGGCTAGACTTTCCTTTCCTTTCCTTTCCTTTCCTTTCCTTTCCTTTCCTTTCCTTTCCTTTCCTTTCCTTCCCTCCCTCCCTCCCTCCCTCCCTCCCTTCTTTCTCTTTCTTTCTTTCTTTCTTTCCTTCCTTCCTTCCTTCCTTCCTTCCTTCCTTCCTTCCTTCCTTCCTTCCTTCTTTCTTTCTTTCTTTCTTTCTTTCTTTCTTTCTTTCTTTCTTTCTTTCTTCCTTCCTTCCTTCCTTCTTTCTTTCGAGACAGAGTATTCCCCCTGTTGCCCAGGCTGGAGTGCACTGGGGCAATCTCAGATTACCACAACCTCTGCCTGCTGGGTTCAAGAAATTCTCCTACCTCAGCCTTCCGACTAGCTGGGATTACAGGCATGTGCCACCACGCCTGGATAATTGTGTATTTTTAGTAGAGATTCAGTTTCACTATGTTGGTCACGCTGGTCTCTAACTCCCGACTCTGGTTGATCTGCCCACCTCAGCCTCCCAAAGTGTTGAGATTACAAGCATGAGCTGCTGCACCCAGCAGACTGCTTTCTTAAGTGGATCCCCAATCACTTTCTTTTCACTGGGGAATACCTTTCAAGAGGCATTTCCAGCTACATCCTACAGGTGCTTTTGGGCTGAAAACAGGTTTATACATCCCTGGGATGGAGGTCCCAGAGAAAAGGGCATGCTGCCATTGTTACTTTTTTGCACATTCACTGGTGATAACTTCAGATGCTGGAAATTCTGAGGTGACTAGATACTGCAGTGGACACCCAGCCTATTGCAGTTGCAGCAGCTCTTCACAGAAGTGGACAGACTGTTACATGTGTTTCTGTTCTTATATATTTTCACTGGGTAGGTTCTTCAGGCCTGGGCCACTAGCCAATCATTGCCACAGCTATTGAGCAAGTAACAACATAAGAACTCCATGGACAGAGCTTCTGGGGGCAACTGCATATATTTATTCACTGTCTCTGCAGTGGAATTGTCCTTGCTGTCCTGAAACTAATGAAAAATCCAAAACCCTAAGTTCCTTATTCACACCTCAAACAAGCTGCAGCATACCAAAGGAAAGGAGGTCAGTCCATCCTCCATGGGTCCCACAGACTCCCCAGTGCTCCTCACCAGACAGTGAGCCCCTAACTTGGCCAAAAGCACAGATTTTCCATCCAGGGCTGACTGCACTGAGGGATTGATCACCTACATCTCTCTTAGTTGCAGCCCTTCAGAAGACTGGCATACAGGTGGGGCAGCAAGCCAGCTTGTTGATTTCTAAGGGTTTGGTGCAAGAGCATCTATAGCAAAATATGGCCAGTGATGGCGAGTTCTCTAGGCTGAACTTTCTCCTATAAGAGATTTTAGCCTGAGGGGAACCATTGGAACTAATTTCTACAGGATGATGTTGCAAATCAGAAGGGGGTGGTCCAACTGAGGACTCTTTTGCCACCTGGCCTCTCCCAGGGTCGCAGTCTAGCTAAAGCTTCTTACAGGGCAGTCTCAGGTACCCTAGAAGCCCATACCATAGCATCAGCCTGGTAATCAATGCTTGGCCCCTGAAGAGCTCCAGGAAGGCAGACACTATCATTGCAGCTTACATGTATCTTCCCCATTCTGCAGCCTACATGTATCTTTCCCATACTGCAGCTTCCCCTGACACCATGGCAATTCCCCATGTTACTTTGCTGGCACATGTCTGCAAAGGTGGGTTTGACTTTGCTTGCCCCACCAGCAAATGGGAATGCAGTATGCTTCTACTACCCTCAGGAACTTCTACAGTAGATAAAACTTTGGTAGGCAGAAAGCCAGAGAGCCTCATCCCTGCTTTTCTGCTAACACTGTGTAACAAAGAGTGTATTCTCCCACTCTCTGAACAATTATTACTTCATGGGCGGGGGGGGCAAAAATAAGGCATCATAACCTTCACTGGCCCGCATCCTGCCCAAGCCAACACCACCTTTAGTGCAACAGACCACACAGTCTCCAGCAGGTACAGGTGACTCACTCTCAGCTGCTTTGTCTTTGCCACTGAGGTGAATGCCCAAAGACAGGGAGAAACCCCATATCCACTAACTCTCTTCTAAAGCTGTGACACCTTAGTCACAAAGAGTGGTGGACTCCAAATATCAAGGAGCCAGAAAAGACAGTTGGAGCTCGATACAATTTCCCCAGAGTATGCAGCCTCTGAATTGTGAGCTGAGCATAGCCCCTCCACCACCAAGAAAAAAATCTCCCAGGAACAAAGCTTGTTGGTTGCAAACACCTTATTCCACATCAAATACTCCAGACCATTAAACGGAATAAAAAAATTCAAAGGTCAACCACCTCAAAGATATACATGGAAACATTAGACAAAATCAGTACAAAAATTTTGAAAACACAAAAAGCCGTAGTGAGTTCTTTCATCCAAATGATGAAATTACATTTCCAGTGAGGCCTAAAAATCTCCCAGGAACAAAGCTTGTTGGTTGCAAACACCTTATTCCACATCAAATACTCCAGACCATTAAATGGGATAAAAAAATTCAAAGGTCAGCAGCCTCAAAGATATACATGGAAACATTAGACAAAATCAGTACAAAAATTTTGAAAACACAAAAAGTCATAGTGACTTCTTTCATCCAAATGATGAAATTACATTTCCAGTGAGGCCTAAGATGACAGAAGTAGAATTCAGAATAAGGAACTTCATTGAGCTACAAATTTAACTTTCAACCCATTGCAATGAAGGGGAAAAAATGCAGGAATGGATAGAAAAAAACAGCCATTTAGGAGGAAAATATGACCAATCTGATAGAGCTGAAAAAACACAATACAAAAACTTTATAATTTAATCACAAGTATAAACAGTAGAATAGGCCAAGCAGAGGAAAGAATCTCAGAGCTTCAACACTGGCTTTCTTAAATTAGACAAGAAGAGTAAAAACAATAACAATAATAATAATAATAAGGAGGAATGAACAAAACATCTAAGATATAAGATTTATGTAATGAATCCAAATCTGTGGTCAAAAAGAGTACCTGAAGGGGATGGAGAGAATGAAAACCACTTGAAATACATATTTCTAGATATCATCCATGGAAAGCCAAGTCACCTCTAAATGAAGGACATCAAACAAATAATAAATCTTTCAGTTGAAATTCTACTTGTCAAAGAGATGAGGGGCCAATATTCAACATTCTTAAGCAAGAATTTTAAACCAAAATTTATATCCGATAAAAGTAAGGTTCAGAAATAAAAAAATATATATGATCCTATTCAGTTAAGCAAATGCTGAGGAAATCTTTTACCACAAGACCTGCCTTTTAAGAGCTTCTAAAGAAAACATTAAATAAGAAAGAGACTATAACCAGTCACTACAAAAACACACTAAAATACATAAATTGCTGACACTATAAAGCAACCACATAAATTTGAAAATAGCAAAGATCATAGTGACAAAATGAAATCCATACACATGAATACTAAACTTGAATGAAAATGGGCTAAATTCCCCAATTAAAAAACAAAGTGGTGCCAGGCACGGTGGCTCACACCTGTAATCCCAGCACTTTGGGAGGCCAAGATGGGCAGATCACAGGGTCAGGAGATCAAGACCACTCTGGCTAACACGGAGAAACCCCGTCTCTACTAAAAATACAAAAAATTAGCCATGAAAATTAGCCAGGTGTGGCAGTGTGTGCCTGTAGTCCCAGCTACTCAGGAGGCTGATGGAGGAGGATGGCATGAACCCAGAAGGAGGAGCTTCCAGTGAGCTGAGATTGCACCACTGCACTCCAGTCTGGGCAACAGAGCAAGACTCTGTCTCAAACAAAACAAAACAAAAAAATAAAACAGAGTGACAAGCTGAACAAACAGACAAGATCTAATGGTATGCTGTAATCAAGACACCCATCTCAAATAACCTCAAATGAAAAGAGAAAAAAAAATCTTCTAAGCAAATAGAAAACAGAATAAAAGCAGAGGTTGCAATCCTAGTTTCTGGCAAAACAGACTTTACATAAATATAGGTTTTAAAAAAAGACAAAGAAGGACATTACATAATAGTAAAGGTCTATATATACACACACACCCCCAAAAAAGCACTCAGATTATAAAGCAACTTCTTAGAGACCCTCGTAGATCATAAGTTAAATGTTCTTCAACAGCCATTACCTTTATGTTACATTGGTTCAGTATAAAGTCTCTGATGTTGAACACAAAATGAGGACTTGTTGAAGACTTTTCCACACTTTGAACACTTGTGGAGCTTCTCTCTAGTATGAATTATCTTATGTCTAATGAAATGTGAGAATGAGCTCAATGCTTTGCCACATTCTCCACAATTGTAGGGTTTCTCTCCAGTGTGAATTATCTTATGATTGGTATGGTCTGATAAGCACTTAAGGGTTTTGCCACATTCTTCATATTTGTAAGGTCTGTCTTCCATGTGAATTATTTTGTGGCTAGTAAGGGTTAAGGAGTAGGTAAAGGCTTTGCCACATTCTTCACAGATATAGGGTTTCTCTCCAGAATGAATTATTTTATGTTTATAAGGAGAGATAACTACATAATGGCTCTTCCATGTTCATTGTATTTGTAGAGTTTCTCTCTAGTATGAATTATCTTATGTTTAGTAAGGTCTGAGAACCACTTATAGGCTTTATTACATTCTTCACCTTTGTAGAGTTTCTCTTCAGTATGAGTTGTCTTATGTTCATGAAGTTCTGAGAACTATCGATTGGCTTTGTTACATTCTTCACTCTTGTAGGGTTTCTCAGTAGTATGAATTCTATTATAATTAGTAAGGTTTCAGAAGCACTTAAAGGCTTTTCCACTTTCTTTGCATCTGTAGGTTCTGTCTCCAGTATAATTTCTCTTGTGTTTAATAAGAGTTGAGGAGCAGGAAAAGGTTTTATCACATCCTTTTCATTTGTAGGGTTTATCTCCTGTTTAAACTCTTATGTTCAGAAAGTTTTGAAAACTTTTAAAGTCTTTGCCACATTCTTCACATTTACACCATCTGTGTATGAATTTTTTATAGTAAAATCTGAGAACAGCCTACAGTTTTTGCCACATTCTTCACATTTGCAGCATTTCTGTCTGCTAAGGCTTTTTTATGTTCAGTGAAGGTTGAGCAAAACTCAAAAGCTTTGCCATATTTATTAGGTTGGCAGGTTTTGCTGTGGGTAGTTGACAAACATTGATGAGGGCCATTATAACTGCTTTTCTGCACCTTGGAATTACCCACACTTTGGTAGTCTTTCTTTAAGTTTAAACTATGAAGGTCATATCTTCCATATTTTATCAGGATCAGTTTTTGAAATGATTCTTTTATGTCATACTCCAGCAATATATCTACAGTAAGATAAAAAGACCCAGCTAAAAAAAAAAAGAACTACAAATTTCTCCCTCATTAGACCCAGGTGAATACACTTTGCAAATATATAATTAACCAAAGCACATTAATAAGGTGACAATAAAATATTACAGGCTCTAATTCTTTTATATAATTTATATAAATTTATATAAATTTATATAAATTTATACTTAACAGTAATATACTCACAAAATGCCTTTGTGAGAACTCTAAGAATCAGGTATAAGTTTGCAGCACCGTAAGTGAGCAAAATGCAAAAAACCACATAGTAGTTTTAAAAAAGTGTTTTGTATGTACCCACAACAACCATTCTTCATCCTATGATGACTTTAAATATAGACTCCCAGCTTCCATCTCCCCCATCCAGCAATAAAGTATTGGCACCTCTGTCCATGCTTCTGGGTTTCTGAGACCTTACCATAGGCTAATTTCTATATTCCATGGTAGCGTTGAAAGGAAAGTTGGTAACTGACAGTTTTGGATATCTAAGATCAAAGATAAATGACTGTTACAAGTGAAGAAAGACTTTAGTATCAAAGACAGACAATGGGTATAGCAACTGACAACAGGATTTCAATAAGAAACATGGGGAATGCTGGGAGTGGTTGCCCACACCTGTAATATTGGCACTTTGGGAGGCTGAGGCAGGCAGATCACCAGAGGTGAAAAGTTCAAGACCAGCAAGGTAAACATGGTTAAACCTTGTCTCTACTAAAAATACAAAAATTAGATGGGCGTGGTGGCAGGTTTCTGTAATTCCTGCTACTCAGGAGGCTGAGGCAGGCAAACCGCTTTAACCAAGGAGTTGGAGGTTGCAGTGAGCCCAGACTGTGCCATTACACTCCAGCCTGTGTAACAGGAGTGAAGCTCCCACTCAAAAATAAAGAAAGAAAGAAAGAGAGAGAGAGAGAGAGGAAGAAAAGAAAAGAAAAGAAAAGAAAAGAAAAGAAAAGAAAAGAAAAGAAAAGAAAAGAAATGAAACGAAATGAAACGAAACGAAAAGAAAAGAAGAAAAAACATGGAAAACTTTTTTCTTTTTTTTTTTTTTTTTTTTTTTTTGAGATGGAGCCTTGCTCTTATTGCCCAGGCTGGAAGGCAGCTTGGCTCACTGCAACTTCTGCCTCCCAGGTTCAAGTGATTCTCCTGCCTCAGTCTCCCCAGTAGCTGGGATTACAGGAGCTCACCCCCACACTTGGCTCATTTTTGTATTTTTAGTAGAGATGGGGTTTTGCCATATTGGCCATGCTGGTCTCGAACCCCTGACCTCAGATGATTCACTCACCTCAGCCTCCCAAGGGAAAATTTTTTAAACTGAAAAACACACAAACTCAGACAAAGCATCCATAGAATAGGCTTCAGAGACCCAAGAATATCTAGCCTAAAAAATTTGTATTATATTCCCCCAGACAATAAAAAACTTAATAAAGATTTTGATGCCACTTTTTATTATACAAATTGCAACCTAAGATTACAACATATTCAAAACATCAAGATAATATGGTTAATTTAAATATAAAAATATATATCCAGAAATCAACTAAAAAAAGGTGATGTAAAAATTACCAGAGACAATTTGAGTTAAAGTCCAGATACATTTTTAAAAAGAAAAAAAAATAAATTACCCTTAAAAGTTAGCATTACCATCTCACTGATGCTCAATGAATAAAATGGAAATAAAGAAATTAAGAAAATGGAAATAAGTGAAATAACATAAATTAAACCAACAAAAAATATAAAGCTCAAAAAGAAATAAAAATCGTAGAGTGGAAGTACAAAAAAGATTAATATTCCCTTCAACATTAGAAAAAATATGAGAAAATCAGTAAGCTCAGCAAATTTCAAATAAAATTAATGTAAGAGAGATTTACAAGACACAAGTTTTGAAAGTCACAGAAAAGAGAATGAGAAATGCAGGAAGAAAAAAAACAGATGTATTATTTATATTCATGCTTCTGCAAGATTACCAGTAAATGTATGAACATAAATCTTTCAAGCAAGAAGGGGGTCGGATGACATAGTTAAAACCCTGAAAGAAAAAGGTGTAAGCAAAAATACTATATTTTGCAACAGTATCCTTCAAAATGAAAAAAAAGCTCTAAATATAATATGATCTATATTAACAGCTAACTATGTCATGTCTTCGAAAAGACTCACTCATATCTAATAAAAAAAGACTAAAAATGGCAGGATAAAAATACATTTCACGCAAGTGTTAACCAAATGAGAGGTGAAGAGGCAACAATTTATTAAGGTGAAAACTTCCATAATTCATATAATTTACTTTAAGTCATAATTTACAAGAGACAAAGTAGGACATTCAATTATAATAAGAGGGTTCATTCACTAAGAACTTATAAATATCTGACAATTTTCCCAAACACATAAAGCAAACATTGACAGAATTGAAACCAAAATAGACAGCAATATAATAATGGAATAATACATCAATATTTCACTCTAAGTAATAAATGAAGCATGACAGAATATCAATGAAGGAATGGAAAATTTGAATGCATTATACAATAATTACACCTAACAAATGTATACAGACAACAGAATACACATTCTTTTCAATAGCTTATAAAACATTGTTCTAGATGGACCACATGTGACACGACATAAGAAGCCTTAATAATTTTTTAACTAAAATTTTACAATTATTTGTAGCCCAAGAGGAAAGAAACTAGTACACAGTAACAGCAGAAAAGCTGAAAAATTCAAAACTTATAAAGATTAAACAACACAGTTTCCTGTTTTGTTTAGTTTAGTTTTGTTGAGAAGGAGTATCACTCTTTCACTAGGCTGAAGTGCAGTGGAGCAATATCAGCTCACTGCAAGTTTCACTTCTTAGGTTCAAGTGATTCTTCTGCCTCAGCCTCCTAAGTAGCTGGGATTACAGGCATGCACCATCTTGCCCAGCCAATTTTATGTATTTTAGTAGAGACAGTGTTGCATCATGTTGGCCAGGATTGTCTCGATCTCCTGAACTAGCCCTGTGCCCTCCCTGGCCTTCCAAAGTGCTGGGTTAGAGGCATGAGCCTCTACACCCAGCTACAGCGCCCTTTTTGTCATGTTGTTTTACAATGATTGGAAGACCTAATGTTGTGAATATGTCCATGCTGTTTAAAGTGACCAACACGTTATTATATATTGCTCTAAACCAGGTTGTATTGTCAACATCTATAGGCAGGTTTAAGGGAGAAGATCCATTATTGTGCCTGTGGGCTGGGTCCAGAATGAGTCACCATCGCCCCTGTGGCCAAATCCACATAAAAATGTCACAATTTTAACTGTGTGCTGTATTCTTTTGTCAGGCTCAGGACCTCAAGAGTGGGCACTGCAAATGTGGAATGGTGACAACTCTTAATTTCACTATGGTGTGTAACCAAGAGTTCCATTCTGAACCTTTTTCTGGACCCTGTTATGAAACTCTTTACCACCAAACAGTTTATACAATATAAGTTAGTGTTGTAAGCTAATGTGAGTTTGGTACAAATATGCAACCCAGGACCTTACATATTGCCTTAAGACAAATAATGAGAGGAAAAATATCTCCTATTGGCTGTATCCCAATGTAAGTTTCATCTTCATGCCTGGGAACTGAAGCAAGGTATATGTCATAATTCCATATGTGAGCAAAAAACAAGACAGTAGGTTAACATTACATAGATGGTGTACTAAGCAATATGTCACAATGCCTCCTCTAGGTAGGGTATAAAAAAATTGGATCACAGTAACTTGATGCTAGACTCAGCATTGAACAACATCCCACATGTGGAAAATATCAAGCCAAGTTATAAGACACAAAACACTTACATAATGGGCCAAAGATATGTCGATGTATATTCGGTGGCTCTGTCATGGGCAGAAGAGTCACATCATAAGGGTGCTGGGCCCAGCAATATGCAATATGCCATAATTTCTCTTTATGCACGATCTAGGAAGAAGAGAAAAAAATTACATGGTATTGGGCCACACAATAGGTCAGAATTCCTTCTTTCTGGTTATAATTCCAGAAAAACAGGAGGGTCAATGTCCTGACTGCTGGGCTCAGCAATATGTCAAAATTCTCCTATTTTGAAGGCCCAGGTTGAAAAAGACAGTCACATCACTTAGGTCAAGGGCTCAGAGATATTTCAAAGTGTCCGAAGTAGGCAGGGCTCAGGCAGATGAGGAGAATCATATCACCTAGGTGCTGCCCTAGGAATGTGTTACAGTGCAATATGAGGGCAGCATCCAGGCAGAAGGGCCACATCACTCAAGTGCTAGTTCCTGAGGTATTTCACAAGGATCTCTTAACAAAACACAGAACAAAGAGAGTTACATCACCTAGCTGAAGGTTCTCTTCTTGTGCCAGACTGCCCCATGTGGGTAGGACCCAAGAAGGGACTCACATCTCCTAGGGGATATGCACAGAGATGTGTCACAATGTCTTCTGTGAAGCATAGCACTGGAAACTAGGCCTGTGTACCTGGCCTAGAAATGTCACTCTCCAGGTTCACAGGACCCAAGCAAGAGTCCCACATAACCTAGGTGACAGGCCCAGAGATATGTCACAATGCATTTCTTTGGGAATGACTCTGGCAAAATAATTCTCTCATCTGTGTGTTTGGCCTTGCAATATGTCACTCTACTTCCTTTGTGCAGGGCCCATTTCAGAGAGAAGAGTTATATCACCTGTGGGGTGAATAGAAAGATATATCACAATAATTTTTGTGGGCATGGCAGAGGGAAAAATATAACATCACCTGGGTGCTAAAAGCAGTGATAAGACACAATCCTTACCGAGAGATGGACCCAGGCAAGAAAGTCACAAAACTTTGAGGTTGGCCTAGGTAGATATCACAATCACATATATGGACTGAAAGAAGTCTAGAGAGTCAAATTACACAAGTGCTTGGCAATAATTTATATCAAAATCACACTGCCAGAATATTCCAAAGGTGAGATTTACAATACCAAACATGTCCTGTTTTCATCTTTGACAGTTGACTTCATCCATGTGAGGTAATGACAGTTCTTACTGTGAGATGGATGTGCATACAAGACTAACAATATCACCTGTGTGCTGATCCCAGCTTTGACTCCTTCTGTATAACCCAAAAACTTTGTAAAATATGTATGAGTGTTATAATCTTTTGTGACCTTTCTATAAAAGGTGATCCAGGGCATCAGGCATGTCCCTAAAACTAGATATAGAAGTCAAAATTGCATCTTTGCCTGAGTCCACATATGACAGTCATTATCATCCCTCTTAGCCATGCCTAGGTATAGATTTCAATTCCCTCTGCGTTTATGAAACAGGCAGAACAGGCACATCATCTAAGTTCTGGGCCAGAAGTATTCCATATTCTATTTGTAGTCAGGGTTCTGTCAGAAATATCATACTTGTGTGCTAGGTCCAGCTCTGTGTCCTAATGTTTCTTTTGGGCACTGTCCAGGCAGGAGAGGAGAGTCTATCATCAAAAAGATGGGCCCCAAAATATGTCACAATGCCTACTGTTGGCAGGGCCCAGGCAAGAGAGTCGTATCATTTAGACACAGTGTTTAGAAATGCTACAATTACTAAAGGAAGCAAGTTACAGGCAGGAGAGGAGAGTTGTGTAACCTAGATGATGGGTCCAGAAATATGTTACAAATCCCCTTGAGGACATTGTTAAGATAGCACAGTCAAATCACCAAGTTACTTGGCTCAGGTTCTTGTGAAAAATCTCATTTGTAGGCTACACTTATGCAGAATTATTAAATCACTTAAGAGCTGGGTAAATGTATAAGTCACAATTACACTTCTGTAAAGGTTTAAGAATAAAGGTCACCAACCTGTATACGTCCTGGCTCCACTCCTATAAGCTGTTATTAGGCTTTTGCTGTGGTCTCTGGTATATGGCACAATGTCACGTGGCCAGAGAGAAGGCAAGAAATTCACATTACCTATGTGGGTATGGCTCCAGTGTGATGTCACAATTTACCTTTTGGACAGGACACAGGCAGAAAAGTCACATCACCTGAATGCTGATTTCAGTGACATATGAAAACACCATCTGTGGGCAAGACTTTGGCAAGAAAGAGACTTACTTCACCTGGGCAATTGGCCTAGATATATGTCACAATGTCTGTTCTGTGCAGTACCAAAGCTGCAGAGTGACCTCACATTTGTGCTGGGACCAGCAATATGTCACAAACTCCCTGTGGTCAGCGTACAGGTTAAAGTGGGCAAACATCAGCTAGGTGCTCAGCCAAGCGATATGTTACAATGTTTTCTGTTTGCAGAGCCCTTGAGAAAGAATCACATCACCTGGGTACAGTGTTATGTGTCACAATGCACTGTAAGTGCAGGGCCAAGGCAATAGAAGAGAGTCACATTACTTATGTGATGGATCTAGATATAAAACATAAATTCTCTTTGTAATCAGGTTTTGGGCAGATAATTTACATAACCTGGGTAACAATATGAGTAATATATAAAAATTCCCTTTGTAGGCAGAACCATGATAAATGCTATATATTGCATAGGTGTTTGTTATACTTATGGCATAATTTCATCTGCGGTCTGGGCCTAGAAAAAGAGTCATATCATTCATGTGCTGGTAAAAGTTGCCTGTCCCAGTCACACTTTCAGAAAAGTTCACAAATAAGTTTCACATTCCACATAAGTTCTGGTTTCCTGTATGTGGGTCAATACTTTTTATGAGTTTGGTGGAACTATGGGTCACAATCTCAACAATGGGCAAGATGCAGGCACAGGAGTTGCAATCCCATTTCAAGATTGTGTTCCAGTAGGGGACTCACAGCACCAGAGACAGGCTGAATCATGGTTCAAATATGACCAAAACACCTGTGAATTTAATCCATGTATAAGAGTAATTATTTCAATCTTTGACAGCTTTTATGTGTGAGGTTTAGTGCCTCATTACTAGGCCCTGTTAATATGTAAGAATCACAATTGTATCAGTTAGGTGTGCATACAAGTCACATTCTTACCTGATTGCTGCTCTCTGTTATGACACTGTTTGTACCATACAGGGTTTAGATGACATACCTGACTGTTATAATCCTTTGTGAACTTTATACAAGTTAAAAACCCAGGACTTTTTCTTTATCAATAAGAATGGCTATAAGAGCCAAAATATCTCTATTGGCTGGGTCCAGAGACGAAATTTAATGTAGTGCATCTGTGCTTAACCAAGGCATACGTCACAATTTCACCTGTGAGCAGAGACAAGGCAAGGGAGTCACATCAACTCGGTGCTGAGTCAGTGATACACTATAATCTCATTACTAAGCTGGGCCTAATAACAAGAGTCACATTACCTGGTTACAGCCTCAAATAGTATTTCACCAAGCCCGCTATAGACAGTGAAGAAGAAAAGAAGAGTCAGCCAGGTGTGGTGGCTCATGCCTGTAATCCCAGCACTATGGGAGGCCAAAGTGGGGAGATCATGAGCTCAGGAGTTAGAGAACAGCCTGCCCAACATAGTGAAACCTCATCTCTACTAAAAACACTATATAGATAGATGATAGATAGATAGATAGATAGATAGATAGATAGATAGATAGATACATACATACATACATACATACATACATACATACATACATAGATACATAGATACAGCAATATTGCAGGGCATGATGGTGGTGCCTGTAATCTCAGCTACATGGGAGGTTGAGGAAAGCAAATTGCTTTAACCTGTGGTGCAGAGGTTGCAGTATGCTGAGATTGCACCACTGCACTCCAGGCCAGGCAAGAGTGAGAGACTTTGTCTTAAAAAAATAAATAAATAAAAAGAGAGAGAGAGAGAGAATCACTCCACCTAGATGCTGGGGTCAGCAGTATGTAATAAACTTTCCTCTTGGCAAAGTATAGAATATGAAGGAAAGTAACATCACTTAGGTTTTGCAATCAGAGGTATGTCACAATTTATTTGGTAAGTGGGACCCAGGCAGGAGGGGAGAGTCACTTTACCAAGTTTTTAAGTCAAATCATATTTCACAGTTTCCTCTGGGGGCAGGACACAGGCAGGAGAGACAAATAACCTAACTTATTGTCCAAGAGATATGTGACAATATACCCTGTTGGCAGGTTCCACACAGAAGAGTCACATTATTATGATTCTAACCCAGAGATATGCCACAATGCACCCAAGAGAAGAAATTTAAACCAAAAATTCTCAACACCTGGGTACTAGGCCTAGTTATATGCCAAATCTTCTTGTCTTTGAGGGTGACACCATTAACTCTGAGCTGAATGTGTATATGAGAGTCACAATCTCATGTGTTTCCTGGGTTGTTGTATGAACCTTAATATGTACTACATATTAAGTCTTTATACAGCATGCATGAGATTTGAAAACCATTTGGAGAACTTCATACTCCTATGGATTCACGATCTTACATACTGCCCTAAAACCACAAATAATAGTCAGTATCTCTGCTGTAGGCTGGGTCCAGGTATGAAAACCATTATTATGCCTATGAGCTGGATCCAGAAATGAGCCACCATCTGACCTGTGGCCAGATCCATATATGGGCACAATACCAACTTGTACTGAATTCACTTGTTAGAATCAGGACCTTAACAGTGTGTTTTGGACACATGGGATGGTGTCAACATCTGCTTTTACCTGGATGTGTAATCAATAGTCCCAATCTGAGCTTTATGCAGGTCTTTTTCATAAAACCCTGCCAAGTCTGCCCCACAGAAACAGCCCAAGTGATGGATGAAAGAATATCACTGACACATGTATTTTTCCTGAGAGTGTGGTTAGCTGACTGTATGTTTAACACTGTCGATGAGAGTGCAGCAACAGCATCAGGAGAAGGAGTAGCTGAGACTGTAGCCACTATGAAGAGAGTGCAAGACCCACCAAAAGGATTCAGCAGCTGCTGAGAGAGTATAATTGCAACAGCAGCAAAGTGTGTAGAGCAGCAGTAGCTGAGAGTGCAGCGGTGAACATCCGGTGACGCTCAAATTTATTTAGTAGAGATTTAATAACAAAGGCTTGGAGCAAACCCAGTTTGTGTTTAATAAACATTTTCCACTTCTCGATTAGAGAGCAGTCCTGCATGCAAATGATCAAAGGTTGGTTTCTGGAGACATATGTAAACCAATGTATGTAGATAAGCCCCTTTGCATTCCCTCATTATCTTCCCTTTACTCTCAGGCTCTGAGTAAGAGAGTTTGGATGCCTTCAGAGAAAATTCTTTTCCAAAGTTTTGCAAGAAGTCCTGGTGTTCCAGGAAAATTTGCATATTTCCTATCATTTTTTCCATCACACCCTGACTGATGTCCTACATCTCCCTCTTTTCTTTCTTTTTTTTTCATCAAGTTTTGTTTACTGAAGACTACAGATGTCTGCAGCAACAGGATTGTCAGATACCGTGCTTATAAGTGGTATTCTGGCTTTGCATCCTAGAATTACTAAATAACAGAAGACAAACATGAATATAATCATAAACATTCTATTCCAATCAAGGAGTGGCATGTAGTGTTAATTGGCACCTCAGTTCAATGTGTGCTGTTACTAACGAATCCCACTGCGGGTATTTTAACACTTTCTATCCAAGCAGTTGCATTGTTAGAAGCTGGGAAGGGGGTTTCTGTCTAAGTAACAGGACAGTAGAAAGGCTGATTTAAAAGATGTGCCTAATAGAGTGTAGGAGATATGGGATGCAGGCAAAGTAAGAAAATAAGAAAGGTTAATAAAACATAACAAGGAACAAATTTTCTGGAGTGAATCGTGTCTGTGTCCAGAGCAGGATTCACTCAGCCTTCTGAATTGTCTTCTTCAGCCTCCCTCTGGTAATGTCTGGGGGCATGAGTTGTATAAATAAGCCACATTCTGGGGGACTGTGGGGTTTGCATGGTTATTTCCTTTATTTCTGGTACCGGGTTGCATTTTAGCTATGCTATGTTTAGGTTTGATATATTGTATTGGAATTCAAAGAGGGCCTGAGGAGGTGTGAACATAAGCATACCCTCTTACCCATGTTAGCAAATTATTTGGACCATACCATACATGACTAACCAAATCTTTCTATAAAACTGTGGGGTTTATGTCTTGAGAGGTTTTAGCAAAGTTCTTTTATATAGCTGAAATTTGTCATTTAAATTTAAGAAATTAAGGGTAAAGAAAACTTGTACTAGTAGTGTTGCAGGGTCTTTACTCATATTCCTTCTTCTTTGTTTTCTGAGGCAATATTTAAGAGAGCAATGGACATATTGTGTCCTTGGGGTTTATATGGGATGCCTGTGGAATGTAGGACACTCCATATATGAAAAAATTGTGTCAATTGTGAGATGACATATGCCAGAATAATTTTGCAATTAGGCAATCCTTTTTTACTGAGGATCAAAGCCTGCTTTACGTGATAACTGTCACACAGTAGTGTTACTGGTGGGTCTTTGTTCTCAGAGCTGCCAAGATGGTGGCAGGCAACTTCCAAGATGGTGGCAAGTCTTTTGTTCTCTGACCAAGTGTTCTTGGCCTCATGGTTTCAAAGGATTGAAATTTTTTTACCATGTGGTGGATGTTATAGCTCTATTTTCTAATAGAGCTATTAGATGTAGGTCATGGAAGAGAATGGTGGAACCCAGCAACTAGTGTTCAGCTCTATTAGGATGAATCTGAAGTCAGTGGCGAGTCTGTGATGGTGGTGACCAGCACTGGTGGATGGCAAACAAAAGCTCAGCTCAAGCTGGAACAAACATGGACCAGAAGAGTGTGCAGTTTTAAGATTTAATAGAGTGAAAACAGAGGTCCCATACAATGAGAGGGGACACAAAGTGGGTTGCCTCTGCTGGGACAAATGCCTGGGTATATATATCCCAATAATTGTCCCTTCCATTGTGCTGTCAGGTGATATATGATTTGATTATTTCTTTACCTCCTGCTTTCAGCCTAATTGGTACTTTAGGGAGCTCTCTTTCCTACCTGATTTGTTGGGTGTGAGCTGAGTTACAAGCCCCGGGATTAAAGGTGGGTGTGGTCACGTTCCCCAGCCAGGCTTAGAATTCCTAGTTGGTCTAGGAAATCCAGCTAGCCTTTTCTCTCAGTAGGACTGCTGAGCATCCCTTGAGGAAGTACTTTCTAATTAAATCTGTGAGCTGACCTTTCATTATTGCTAGCTGCTATGGTAAATGCAAATTATTATGTTCTGTTCTTCAATGGGAATAGTATAAAAGCAGCCTTTTAAGTCAATAATGACCATAGACCAATCTTGAGGAATAGCCATGGGTGAAAAGAATCTCCTGTTGAAGGGGTGTGCAAATTAGCATTGATAGGCCATAAATCATGCACAATCTCCATTTGTGAGACATTTTTTGAATGAAGAAAAAGGGCAAATTCCGAGGGCTGTTTGATGTCTTTATATAGCCAGCTTCTGATTGCTCCTCAGCTTATTCATGGGCTTGTTGTAACTTCTCTCCCTTTAAAAGCTTCTGTTCTCCCCAAATCGCATTTTAAGAGAGCCATGTCCAGGGAAGGGGAGGAATAACAGTGCCCATTATCAGAAAGAAGTCTGTAAAGTGACCTTGATTAACCCTCTCATAAATGGGCTAGTGGTTACATTTTTTCTAATGCTTTTTCTTATTTCTTTATGTACATGATTGCCTTGTTGATTTTTGGGCAGGACAAGATTTCCCCTTCTAATGCCACTTGCCTAAGACAGGGTCCCATATCTGTAGCATATTCCTTGTCCTTTCTCTAATTTATTGGAGGAGGGAGCTCAGGGGAAAACCTCCATTTTCTCTGTGGCACTTTTACTCTCAAATAGTGGAACTGAGGGAGGAGGAGGAGGTTGTAAGGTAGGTGATGATTCTTCCTCCCTTCTCTTCTTATTCTCTTCTGTGTAGAGTGAGACAAAATCAGTCCTAACTAAGGCTCATAACATTAAAGATGTTACTGGAAACTTACTCTTGTGCCTGATGTTATTTAAGATTTCTGCCCACTCATTCCCAGAGGTCTATGTTTAGTGTGCCTTCTGGGAACAATTGGTTATGAAAAAACAACAAAAAAAACCCAGTTTGCATTAGGTTCCTTAATTAAGACTTTGAAACTGAGGCTCCACTAGCTTTAAGCAGCTGTTTCACTATTTTTATATACTGTTGCTGTTGAGCTAATAACTGATGTCCCATGATGAAACCCTAGCCTGAACAATTCCCTCAAATTTGGAAATCCCAAGCAGGTATCAATGACTTACTCACTGCACAGTCTTTTCACCTTCATTTTTGAGGGTTTCATCATGATTTGTTGCAGCATTCCTCACACAGGACACCACCTGCTGCGTCTGTCTCATGGACTCTGGCTGAGCAATGGATGAAAGAAGTTTGCTGACACAGGTATTTTGCCTGAGAGCTCCACAAAAGGACTGCATGCTCAGCATCACTGGCAAGCATGCAGCAGCAGCAGCAGCAACAACAACAACAACGACTGCAGCAGCAGCAGGAGCCAAGAGTGCAGCCACCACAAAGAGAATGCAGTAGCCACTGATACAGTGTAGCAGCTGCCAAGAGTGCATCATAACAACAGCAAGAGTGCAGCCCCCAGAAGCCAGTGACACTTGCATTTAGGTAGTACAGAATTAATGACAAAGGCTTGACACAAACAAAATTTTTGGGTAGTAAGATTTTTGACTCCCTGACTAGACAGCATTCTTTGTTCATTCATGTGAATGAAAAAAAGATTGGTTTCTGGAAACATAAATACACCAAATTATCTAGATAACTTTCTTTATATTTCCTTGTTATCTAATATTTGCTTTCAGGTTCTGGGTAAGAGAATTTGTCTGCTTTCAGCCCAAATTATTTTCTGAAGAGTTTGGAATATCTCCCAGCCTTCCAAGAAGGTTTGCGTTTTTCCTATAATTTTTCCACCACCCTGATACATCTCCTACAAAACTCTCAGTACCACCCAAGGAGTTGACACTTTGTGAGTAAGTGTTGTAAATTTCAGTGAGTTTGGTATAAATATGAATTACTGGACCTTACCTATTGACCTAAGCCTAGAAATGAAAGGCAAAATATCTCTTATTTGCTGAATCCCAGTATAAGTTTAACCATCATGACTTAAAACTGAAGTAAGGTATTTGTTATAGTCTCATTTGTGGGCAAAAAAATTGACCAAAGAATAACATCACCTAGGTGATGTGCCAAGCAACATGTCACAATGCCCTCTCTAGTTAGGATATAGAAATTAGAGTCACATTAACTTGATACTAGATGCACTAATATGACACAATCCCATATGTGGGGGAAAAAAAAACAGCCAAAAGATGAGAGCTAAAACACCTACATAGTGGGCCAAGGATATGTCAAAATGCCTCATGTGCCTCTCGTACAGTAATGAAAGTAACATTATCAGAGAATGGGCCTAGAATATGCCATAATTTTCTGTATATACAGGACTCAGGTGAAAGAGTAACATTATATGGGTGCTGGGCCCTGTGATAGACCAAAATTTCTGATTGTCAGCATGGTTTAGGACAAAAAGGAGTGTCAAATAACCTGAATGCTGGGCTCCGCAATATGCCACAATCTCTCCATTGTAAAGACCAGGCAGAAGAAGAGTCACTACACTTAGGTCATGGGCTCAGCGATTTATCTCAGTGTCCCCAGTAGACAGGCCCAGGCAGGAAAACAGAGTCATATCACCTGGGTGCTTCTTTAGTAAAAATGCACCTGTGGGAAAGTATTTGAGTTAAAAAGTCTCAATACCTGGGTACTAGGCCCAGTGATATGACACAGTCTCTTCATTTTGTAGATTGACACCTTTAACTTATAGCTGAGCATGTACATTAGAGTTAAAATCTCACTTGTGTGCTGGGTAAATGTATGGTACTCTGTACAACATCTGAGTGGTTTATAAAACATGCATGAGACTTCCAAACATTTCTGAGGCCTTCATG
The DNA here is from genome assembly GCF_000001405.40 of Homo sapiens. Taxonomy (NCBI): domain Eukaryota; kingdom Metazoa; phylum Chordata; class Mammalia; order Primates; family Hominidae; genus Homo; species Homo sapiens. Next base: position 7,868,779 of record NC_000024.10, read on the forward strand.
CTGGTATGGACCCACAATCTTACATGTTGCCCTAAACCCAGGTTTTATAGTAAAAATATCTCCCAATATCAAGGTTAAGGAAGAATACCCATTATTTTGTATGTGGGCTGGGCACCAAAATGAGTCAGCATCCACCTTGTTGCCCAATCCGGGCATAAAAGTCACAATTTCAACTCTGTGCTGTATTCCCTTGCTGGATTTAGGACCTCAACAGTGCTCATTGTAAATGGGGGATGGTGGACAATTTTAACTTGACTTTTAACTGAGAGTCCCAATCTGAACATTTTGCTGGGCACTGTTAAGAAACTCTCTACCACCAAAGAGTTTACACACTAAGTTAGTGTTGTAAGCTTCTATGATCTTGGTACAAATATGCAATGCAGGACTTTATCTATTGCCCTAAACTTAACTATGCAAGGCAAAATACCTCCTATTCATTGCATCCCAATAGAAGTTTGATCGTTATGCCTGTGAACTGAAGCAAGGTATATGTCATAATCCCATTTGTGGGCAAAAAAGTAGGCAGGAAGGTAACATCACTTAGGTGCTGTGCCAAGCAATATGTCACAATGCCTTCTCTAGGCAAGGTATAAGAAATTGAGTCACATTAACTAGATGTTGGACCCAGCAATATGAAACCAATCCCACATGTGGAAAAAAAACCAGCCAATTTATGTGAGCCAAAACACCTACATAATGAGCACAAGATATATCAGAATACCTTCAGTGGCTCCAGCACAGCCAGGAGGGTCATATTAAGGTAGCTGTGTGCAGCAATAGGCAATATGCCATAATTTTGTATTTATGCAGAACCCAGGCAGAAGAGTAACATCTGGATTATGCACCTTGCAATAGGTCAAAATACCTTTTTAGTGGACATGATTTGAAAACAGGAGAGCCACATATTCTAAGAGCTGAGCTCAGTAAGGTGTCAAAATCCTTCTACCATGAATACACAGAGAGAAAAAGGGAGTCAAAACATGTCAAGGACTCAGAGATATGTCCCAATATCACCAGTAGGCAGAGTTCAGCCACATGAGGAGAGTCATATCACATACGTGCTTCCCTAGGAATATGTCACAATTTAACATGTTTACAGAAACCAGGCAGAAAAGCCATATCTCTTGGGAACTTGGTTCTGAGATATTTCATAAGACTTTCTTATGACATCACCCAGGCCAGAGGGTTACATAACCTATGTGCAGGTTCTTTGCTTATATCACAATGCTCCTTGTGAGTAGGGCACAAGGAGGGAGCCAGTTTACCAAGGTGATAGGTCTACAGATATGTCAAAATGTTCTCTATGAAGCATAGGCCAGGCAAACGACTACCATAACCTGTGTGCATGGCATAGAAATATGTCACTTTCTAGGTTGACAGGGCCCAAACTGTAGAGCCACATAATCTAGGTAGTAGGCCCAGAGTATGTCACAGAGCCTGCCATTGTGCATGGCTCTGGCAAAAGAGTATCCTCATCTGTGTGCCTGGCCTTGCAATATGTCACTATCATTCCTTAGTGTGGGCCCCATTCCAGAGAGAAGAGTTACATCACCTATGAAGTGGAAACAGAAATATGTCACAATAATTGTGGTGGAAATGGAGCAGGCAAGAATGTAACATCACCTGGGTGCTAGATCCAGTGACATATCACAATTCCTACTGAGAGAAGTGCCCATCCAGGAGAGTCACACCACCCCACGGTTGGCCTAGGTAGCTATCACAAGCCATATATGGCCTGAAACAAGTCTGGACAGTCAAGTTACAGAGGTGCTTGGCAAAGATTTATATCACAATTACACTGTCAGAAAATTCAAAAGATAAGATTTACAATACCATGCATGTCCTGTTTTCAAATGTGACTATTAATTTTATCCATGTGAGATCATGACCATTCTTACTGTCAACTGGGTATGCATACAAGACTCACAATTTTAACTGTTTACTGAGCCCTGCTTTGACTCTATCTGTATAACCCAAAGGCTGTAAAATATGTGTGAGTCTTGTAATATTTTGTAACCTTGGAACAAGAAGGTGATCCACGACATCACGCATGTTCCTAAACCTAGTTATAAGAGTCAAAATATCCCTTATTGTTTGAGTCCATATATGAAAGTCATTATCATGCCTATGAGCTGTGCCTAGGTATATGTTACAATTCCATCTGTGATTATGAAGCAGGCAGAACTGCCACATTACCTAAATGCTGGGCCATAAATATTCCAATATTCTCTTTGTAAGCAAGGTCTCTTCAGAAAGTCACATAACTTGTGTTCTAGGTCCAGCTATGTGGCAAAATGTCCCCTGTGGGCAGTGTCTAGGCAGAAGAGGGGAGTCATATAACCTAAAATCTGGGTCCAAAAATGTGTCAAAATGCTTCTTGTTGACAGGGCCCAGGCAAGAGTGTCATAACATTTAGATGCAGTGTTTATAAATGCTACCATTTCCAAAGAAAGCAGGGTGCAGGCAAGAGAGGAGAGCCATGTAACCTAAACGATTGGTCCAGAAGTATGTTAAAATCCCACCTAGGCACCTTTTTATAATAACACAGTTAAATCACCAATATGCTTGTCCCAGGTATTTGTCAAAATCTCATTTGTGGGCTACACCTAGGCAGTATTATTAAATCATTCAAGAACTGGGCAAAGGTGTATGGCACAATTACACTTGTGGAAAGGTTTCAGAATAAGAGTCACCATTCTGCACTTATTCTGGCTCCAGGCATATGAGTTGTTTCTAGGCTTGTCTTATGGTCTCAGATATACAGCATAATATCACTTGTGACCAGAGAGAAGGCAAGAAAGTTACATCATCTATGTGGCAAATCAAAACGCTTTCTCTGGGCAGAAATTTGACACAAAAGGAGACTAACTTCACCTAGGGAATTGGCCTAGATATAAGTGACAATGACTTTTATGTGCAGTACCAAGCCTGGAGCGTGACCTCACATTGGTGCTGGGCACAGCAATAAATCAAAATCTTCCTGTTGTCACAATACAGGCAAAAGGGAAGAAACATCTTGTAAAAGCTGAGTCAAGTGATATATTATATAATGCTTCCTGTTGGCAGAACGTAAAAGAAGAATCATATCACCTGGGTGCTTTGCCCAGTTATATTTCACAATGCACTGTAAGTGCATGGAACCAAGGCAATAGTCACAATTCCAACTTTGTGCTGTATCCCCTTGTTAGACTCAGGACCTCAACAGTGGGCATGGTAAATGTCAGATGATGACAACCTTTAATTTCGCATGTGTGTGTAACTAAGTGTCCCAATCTAAACTTGTTGCTGGGCCCTGCTTTCTCTAAAGGCCCTTTCTACCACCAAAGGGCTTATACAATGTAAATTAATGTAGAAAGATTCTGTGAACTTGTTACAAATATGCAACCCAGGATCTTATCAAATGCCCTAAGCCTAACAATGAGAGGCAAAATATCTTTTATTGGTTGAATCCCAATACAAGTTTGATTATCATGCCTGTGAACTGAAGACAGGTATATGTCATAATCCCATTTGTGGGTAGAAATATTAGGAAGGAGCGTAACATCATTTAGATGTTTTGCCAAGCAATACATCACAATGCCTTCTCTAGGCAGTGTATAGGACATTGGGTTACATTAACTTGATTCTTAACACACTAATATAACATCATTCCACGTGTGGAAAATATTCAAGCCAAGTTATGAGAGCCAAAACACCTACATAATGGGCCCAAGATATGTCAAAATATGTTTCCTGGCTCCAGCATAAACAGGGCAGTCACATCCAAAATATGCTGCACCCAGCAATATGCAATATGCCATAATTTCCTCTTTATGCAGAATCCAGGTGGAAGAGTAACATAATCTGGGTGTTTGGCCCTGTAATGCATCAAAATTACTTTTTTGTGGTCATCATTAGGGAGAAAGATGAGACTCACATACCCTGAATGCTGGGTTCAACAATGTGTCAAAATCCTTCTATTGTGAAGGCCCAGACAGAAAAAGAGAGTCACTTCTCTTAGGTTATGTACTCAGAGTTATATATCAGCGTCCCCAGTAGGAAAGAATCAGGTCAACAAGGAGAGTCATGTCACCTAGGTGCTTCCTAGAAATATGTCACAGTGTAATATGAGGGCAGAATCCAGGCAGAAGACCCACATCACTTGGGTGCTGGGTCCTGAGATATGTCACAAGCCACTCTTAGGAAAAGCCCAGACAAGAGAATTACATTACCTCAGTGCAGGTTCTCTGCTTAAGCCTCAATAATACATGTGGGTAGAGTCCAAGGAGGGAGTCCCTTCACCTAGGTGATAGGCCCAGATATATGTCAAAATGTTTTCTATGAAGCACAGTACTGGCAAATTAGTACCATCACCTCTGCCCCGGCCCAGAATTATGCCACTCTTCAGGTTGGCGAGGCTGAAGCAGGAAAGTGAAAAACCTACGTGATAGGCCCAGAGATATGTTTTAATGTCCTCCTTTGGGTATGGCTCTGGTGAAAGAATACTATCATCTGTTTGCCTGACCTTGTAATATGTCATTATCCTTTATCTGTGTAGGGCCCATTCCAGAGAGGAGAGTAACAACACCTATGAGGGGAACACAGAAATAAGTCTCAATAATTTTTGAAGACACGGAACAGCAAGAATGTAACATCAATTGGATGTTAGATCCAGGGTTATGTCACAATACTTACTGTTAGAAAAGCCCAGGTAGGAAAGTCACATCACCTCAAGGTTGGCAAAGGTAGATATCACAATCCCATATATGAGCTGGAATAAATCTGGAGAGTTAAATTACACAGGCTCTTGGCAAAGATTTATATCACAATCACATTGTCAGAAAATTCCAAAGATGAGATTTACAGTACCACATGTATCCTGTTTGTATGTGTGACAGTTGGTTTTATGCATGTGAAATGATGACTGTACTTACTGTCAGCTGGGTTTACATACAAGACTCAAAATTTTAAATGTGTGCTGAGCCTTGCTTTGACTCTGTCTGTATAAACCAAAGACTTTGTAAAATATGTATGAATGTTATATTATTTCATGACTTTGTACATGAAGGTGATGAAGGACATCACATATGTCCCTAAACTTAGTTGTAAGAGTCAAAATATCCTCTATTGGTTAACCCCACGTATGAGAGTCATTATCATGCTTGTGAGCCATGCCTATATATATGTTACCTTATATGTTATATTAATATGTTATATTTTGCTGGTCCCTGTCATGAAACTGTCTGTACCACCAAAAGAGGTTATAAATTATGAGTTAGTGCTGTAAAGTCCTGTGAGCTTTGTAGCAATATGCAAATCAGGACATTAACTATTGTGCTAAGTCTAATGATGAAAGGCAAAAATGTCCCCTGCTGGCTGAATCCCAGGTTAAGTTTGACCATCATTACTGTGAACAGAAGTCAAGTATAGGTAATAGTCCCATATGTGGGGAAAAAACTAGGCAGGAGGGTACTATCACTTGGGTGGTGTACCAAGCAGTGTGTCACAATGCCCTCTTGAGGCAGAGTATAGGAATTAGAGTCACATTAACTGGGTGATGGACTCAGCAATATGACACCATCCCACATGTGGAAAAAAACTGCTAAGTTATCAGAGCCAAAATACTATGTAATGGGCCTAAGATATAACAAAATACCATCTGTGGCTCCTGCACAGGCATGAGCATCACATTTTCAGGTTGCTGAGCCCAGTAATATGCCCTAATTTTCTCTATATGCAGGATGCAGATAAAAGAGTAACACTGCATGCTGAGCCCTCCAATAAATGAAAACTTGTGTTTGTGGGCATGGTTTGAGAAAAAAAAAAAGGTGAATCAAATAAACTGAGTGCTAGGCTCAGCAATATGTCACAATCCTCCCATTGTAAAGACCAGGTAGGAGAAAAGAGTAACTTCACTAATATCATGGGCTCATAGATATATCCCAGTGTCCCCTATAGGAAGGTTCCAGGCAGAAAAGGAAAGTCATATTGCCTAGGTGCTTCCCTAGATACATGTCACAATCTCATGAGTGGGTAGAAACAGACAGAAAAGCTACATCACCTGGGTGCATCCTGATGTAATGTGTCACCACACCCAATGTAAACAGATTTTAAGATTAAAAAAAAAAACAGAATCACAACACCTGGGTGTTGGGCTCAGCAGTATGTAATAGTTCTCTTTCTGGGCAGCGTCAAGGAAAAAGAGTAGAGTCATGTCACCTAGGATTTGCACTCAGTGGCATGTCACAATTTCTTCAGCAGGCAGAATCCAGGCAGGAGAGGAGAGTCACATTACCTAGATGCTACATCTATCGATATGTCATAGTGTTCCCTGTGGGTAGTACACTGGCAGGAGAGACACTGGGGTCTTCAGCCAACAATGCAATAAAAACCACACGAGGAAGAAACCCAACAAATTGATGACAGCCAAAAAACCTACAGAATGGGCCAAAGATATTTCAAAATACCTTTTGTGGCTCTGGCACAAGCCAAAGAGTCACATCATTAGGGAGCAGGGTGAAGCAATATGCCATAATTCCCTCTTTATTAATGACCAAGGCAGAAAAGAAACAGCATCTGGGTTCTGGGCGCTGAAATATACAGCAAAAGTCCTGTTTGTGGGCATTGTTCAGCAACAAGACAGGTGTCAGTTTACCTAAGTGCTGCAGCTGGACTCCTCAGTGTATTACAGTCCTGCCATTGTTAAGGCTAAGATAGAAGAAGAGAGTCTTATCACTTAGGTCATGGGCTCAGACATAAGGCCAAGCTAGCAGTAAGCAGGGCTCAGGCAGAAAAAACAAGTTATATCACCTAGGTGCTTATTTAGGTATATGCCACAATTTTATATGTGGGTAGAAACCAGGCTGAAGAGCTACATCACCTGGCCCAGGTACCTGAGATATTCACAAGTCCCTCTTAAAAAAATTACCCAGGCAAGAGAGTTATGTCACCAAAGTGCAGGATTCATCCTTATATCGCAATGCTTCATGTAGGCAAGGCCAAGCCGTAAGTCACGTCACCAAGGAGATAGTCCCAGAGATAAGTCACAAAGCCTTCCTTAAAGCATGACCCTGTCAGAAGAGTACCATCATCTCAATGCCTGGCCTAGAATTATGCCACTATTCAAGTAGGAAATTCCCAAACAGAACAGCCATATAACTTACATGATATGCCCTGTGATATGTCAAAATGTCATATCTTGGAAATGGCTCTTGCAAAAGAATATCATCACCTGTGTGTATGGCCTAGGAATATGTCACTATTTTGCACTGTGTGCAGGGCCCATTCCAGAGAAGAGTTTTGTCTCATAACTGAGGGACACAGTGGTATGTCACAATCATGTCTGTGGGAATGGTGCAGCCAAGAATGTAACATCACCTGTGTGCTGGATCCAGTGATGTCACAATACTTACTGAGAGCAGGGCCCAAGAAGAACAATCACATCACTTCAAGGTTGACCAAGTTAAATATCAAAATTCCATTTGTAGGCTCGCACCTGTCTGAAGAGTGAAATCACACAGGTGTTTGACAAAGATATATATCACAGTCACAATGGAAGATAATTCTAGGGCTTAGATGTATAATACCATATAAGTCCTATATTCATGTAGGAGAATTGCCTTCATCCATCTGTGATGGAGAAAGCCTTTAGTGTCAGCTGGGTGTGCATAAGAGACTTACAATTTCCTCTGTGTGCTAGACCCTGTTATGACACTCTCTATACAATGCAAGGGTGTTATAAAATATGTGTGAGTGTTTTAATCTTCTTTGACATTTTTACCAGAAGGAGATCCTGGACATCACTCATGTCCCTCAACCTTGTTATAAAAGTGGCCTTATTGGCTGGGTCAACATATGGGAGTCATTATCATGCCTCTTAACTGTGCCTAGGAATATGTCACATCCCCACTGTGATTATAAAACAGGCAGGACAAACACATCACCTAAGTCCTAAGCCACAAATATTTCAATATTCTCTTTGTTGGCACGGCCATAAGAGAAATATCACAAAATTTGTGGGCTATGCACAGCTTTAAGGTGTAATGTCCCTTGTGGAAAGTGTCCAGGCAGGAGAGGAGAGACATACCACATAAAGGATGGACCACAGATATATGACAATGCCTCCTGTTGAAAAGGCTTAGGCAAGAGGATCATGTAATTTGTATGTAGTGCTTAGAAATGGTACATTATTCACTGGAAGCAGGGTTTACGCAGGAGAGAAGAGTCACATAACCAAGATTATTGATTCAGAGATATGTTAAAATCCCATCTGAGGACAGTGTTAAAACATGAGAATCAAATCACTGAGGTTTTTTGTCCAGGTTTATGTCAAAATGACATGTGGAGGCTGAAACTAGGAAGGGTTATTAAATCACTCAGGATATGGGGATGGTAAAACTCACAATAACCCCTGTGGAAAGATTCAGAGATGAGTGTCACCATCCTGCGTATCCTGGCTCCAGGTACAAGAGTCATTATTAGGCTTTTTATCTGGTCTCAGCTATATGGCACTATATAACCCATGGGTTGGAAGAAGAAAGGAAAGCCTCATCATCTGAGTGGGTACTGGTACAGTGAAATGTTACAATTCTCCTTGTGAGCAGGATATTGGTAGAAGATTCACATCACCTGGATGCAGGTTTCAGTAATATATCTAAATCCTGCCTGTGAGTAGGACTCAGGCAGTGAAGGAGACAAACTCTACCTAGGCTGTTGGTCAGGATATGTTGCAGAGTGGCCCCTATGTGCAGGACCAAGGCAGGAGAACGATCTCACCTGGGTGCTTGGTTCTGCAATATGTCGCAATCTCTGTGCTGGTCAGGGCCCAGAAAAAATAGAAGACACATCACCAAGGTGCTAAGCCAAGTGATATGTTACAAAGCTTTCTGTTGGGAGAATCCTCTCCAAAAAGAGTCACATCACCTGTGTTGAATAACCAGTTATGAGTCACAGTGCACCCTAAGTGCAGGGCCAAGGCAGTAGAAAAAAGTCACATAATTTATGTAATGGACCTAGATAAAAGCCATAGTGCTTTTTGGAATCAGTGTTAAGGCCAAGATTTTACATCAGCTGGGTGCTGGTTTAAGTGGTCTGTAAAAGTGCCCTTTGTCACATTGCCAAAGAAAGTGTTATTTTTTGCTTAGGTGCTTGGTGCACCTATGTCACAATTTCAACTGTGTTCTGGGCCTAGAAATGATAGTCAAAGTACTCAGATGCTGGGTAAGCTCATACTTTTCAATTGTATCCTTGAAAACGTTCAGAAATAAGTTTCACAGTCCCACACAAGTCCTGGTTTTTGGTATGAGAGTTAACACGTCCTATGAGTTGGCTTGAAGGGTAACAGAAGTCACAGTCTCAACAATGAGCAAGATCCATGTATCGTAGCCCAAATCCTGCTTGAAGATTGTGTTCCAGTAGAAGAGTCAAATGACCAAACCTCTGATGAATCACGGTTGAAATGTCACAAAACCACCTGTGGATCAGATTTATGTATGAGAGTCACAACTTCAATATTTGACTGCTTATGTGTGTAAGATTTAGTACCTCACTGGTAGGCTCTGTTCATGTGTAAGAAATACAATTGTGTCAGCTAGGTGTACATCCAAAAGTCACAATACTACCTGGTTGCAGGTGCCTCTAATGATACTCTTTGTATCCCTCAGGCTTTATATGATATGCCTGGTAGCATACTTTTCTGTCAGTTCCTACAGGTGGGAAATCTAGGACTTGGCAAGCAATATGTAACAATGCATTCTCTAGAAATGAGGGTTACCTTAACTGGGTACTGGCCCAGCAATATGACAAAATCCCAAATATAGAAAAAGTAAACCCACCCAAATAATGAGAGCACAATCACTTACAGAGTGTGCACAAGGTATATAAAAATGCTTTCTGTTTCTCTGACACATGCAAGACAGTTACATCATCAGGATTGGGGTGTGGGCAGCAATAGGACATAATTATCTCTTTATGCCTGACCTAGGCAGAAAAGGAATATCATCTGAGTGCTGGGCCCTGCAATGCATCAAAATTCATTTTCTTGGGCATTGCTTGGGACAAAAAACAGTGTCATATTACCTAAGCATTGGGCTTAGCAATATGTCACATAACCCCATTTCAAAGGCTGGCAGAAGAAGAGTCACATCACTTATGAGTCAGACTCACATATATGGCTTAATGTCCCAAGTAGGTAGGGCTCAGGCAGAAAATAAGAGTCATATCACCTAAGTCCTTCTCTCCTTATATGAAAAAATCTAACATGTGAGGTGAAGCCAGGCAGAAGAGTCACATCAACTTGATGGTGGAACCTACGATATGTCTCAAGGCTCCCTTAGGACAGTACCCAGGCAAGAGTGTTACAGCAAATAAGTGCATGTTCTGCCCTTATGTAACAATGCCACATGTGGATAGGGCCTAAGCAGGGAGTCACATCACCTAGGTGATAAGCCCAGAGATATGTCACAATGTCATCCTTGAGGCATGGCCTCAAGGAAGTGCTGAAAGACTATCACTACCTGTTTGCTTAGCCTAGCAATATGTCACAATCTAGGTAAGCAGGACCCAAGCAGGAGAGCAATATCACCTATGTGATAGGCCCACAGATTTTTCACATTGCCCTTTTTATGACATGGCCCTAGCCAAAGAGTACTGTCATCTGTGTGCCTGGCCCAGCCATATGTCACTATTCCCCACTGTGTGCAAGGTCCATTCTAATGAGGAGAGTTACATCACCTAGGTGGTTGACACAGCGATATGTCACAATGATTTCTGTGGGCATGGTTCAGGCGATTCTTACTGAGAGTAGGGCCCATGCAGGAGGGTCAAATCACCTAAAGATTGTCCCACATTGATTTCGAAATAACGTAACTGGGCTGGAAACAGTCAGAGAGTCAAATCAGACAAATGCTCAGAAAATATTTACATCACAATCACACTGGCAGAAAATTCCCAGGATAAGATTAACAATACCACACATGTTCTGTTTTCATTAGTGACAATTGGCTTTATATATGTGAGGTGGTGACAGTCCTTACTGTCAGTTGGGTGTTCATATGAGACTCACAATTTTACCTTTCTGACAGGTTCTGTTATGACACTTTCTATACAAGACAAAGCCTTTTCCATATCACTTATACTGTTATAATCTTCCATGACCTTTTTACCATAAAGAGATTTAATCACTTGTGTTTCTAAAACAAGTTAAGAGAGTCAAAATTACTCCTATTTGGTGGAGGGAGTCTACATATGACAGTCATTATCATGCCTGTGAGCTTTTCTTAGGTATATGTCCCAACTTACTCTGTGGTAATGAAACAGGCATGAGATCCATATAATCTAAATGCTGTGGCAGAAATCTTCCAATATTCTTTTTTGGCAAATTTCTAGAAGAAAAATCACATAACTTTGGGGCTACGCCCGACTGTATGGGACAACACCCCTTGTGGGCAGTGTTTGACAGAAGAGGAGAGAAATATTAAATAAATGGTAGGTTCAGAGATAAGTTATAGTGGTAACTTGTTGAAAGGACCAGGCAAGAAAATCATATCATTTAAATGCAGTCCTTAGAAATACTACAATCTCCAGTGGAAGTAGAATCCAGGCGGGACATGACAGTGAGGCACCTAGATTGAGGGTCCAGAGACATGTTACAAAGCTTCCTAAAGATACTGTTAAGCCAGGAGAGTCAAATCACCAAAGTGCTCAGCTGAGATATATGTCCAAATCTCAATTGTGTGCTGCACCTAGGCAGGATTACTAAATCACTCAGGGGCTGGGCAAAAGTATATGTCACTATAACACTAGTGGAAAATTCCAGGAATAGGAGTCACCATCATGCCTATGACCTGGCTCTAGGTTTAAGAGTCATGATTAGTCCTCTTATCTGGTCTCAGTTATATGGGACAATATCCCTTGTGAGCGCAGAGGAAGCAAAATATCACATCACCTGGGTGGATGTTGGTCCAGTGAGATGTCACAATCATCGTGGGCAGAATTCTGGAAGAAGGGTCACATCACCTGGATGCTGGTTTAACTGATTTATCAAAATTCCCCTTTTGGGCTGGGCTTAGAAAGGAGAGGGGACTCACTTCACCTAGGCAATTGGTGTACATATGTGTCACAATGGCCACTGTGTGCAGGACTAATGTTTGGAAGAGATCACAACTTGGTGCTGGATTTAGCCATATGTCACAATCTCCCTTGTGGTCAGCGCAAGGCAAGAGAGGAAAAACATCACCTAGGTGCTGTGCTGAGCCAAGTTATGTGTTACAAAGCTTTCTGATGGCAAAACCCAAAATGCAGTCACATCACTTGGGAGCAGTACCCCGTTATTTGTAACAATGCACCATTAATGCAGGGCCAAGGGATTAGAATTGGATAACATCACTTACATGATGAACCCAGACATAAGCCACAGTGCTTTTTATAGGTAGGGATTAGGCAAATAATTCACATCACCTGGGAGATGGTCCTAGTTGACATGTAAAAGGGCCCTTTTTATATAGGCCCAAGAACCTATGCTTAGGTGTATGGTCCAAGTATATCACAATTTCATCTGTGGTCATGGCCTAAAAAAACCAGTCAGATTATTCAGGAGCTGGGATAACTGTTATGTCCTAATCACACACTAGACGATATTCAGAAATAAGTTTCACAGTCCCACACAACTCCTGGCTTTGTGTATGTGAGTTAACACCTCCTGTGAGTTGGGTCAAAGCAGAGGAGTCCCAGTCTCAAAAATTGGCAAGATCCATGTATAAGATGCCCAATCCCACTTGAAGACTGTGTTCCAGTGGGGGAGTCACAGCCTCACAGGTGTGCAGAATCATGCAAAACCAAATCACTCATGAATCAGGTCCGTGTATAAGAGGAACAATTTCAACCTTAAATTGCTCATTTGTGTGAGATTTAGTACCTTATTTGTAGATAATATTCTTGTGAGAAAATGACAATCATGCCAGCTAGGTGTGTATCCAAGAGTCACAATCACACCTGGTTAGCGTTCCCTGTTACGACAGTTTTTGTACCACTCAGGCTTTATATGATATGCCTGAGTGTCATAATCCTTTGTGAACTTTATACAATTAGGTGACTCATTTCTTTACTTATGGCCATGAAGCTGACTATGAGAGGCAAATTATCGCTCCTTTCTGGGTAATGGTAAGATAATTAAATTTGTGCCTGTAAGCTGAACCCAGATGCATGTCAAAATTTCCCCTGAGGGCAGAAACAAAGCAGCATAGTCATGTTACCTGGATTCTGAGCACAGAATACATTATAATCTCCTTCACATGCAGGCCAAGTCAGAAGAGTCATGTCAAATTGTAACAACCTCAAGGAATATGGCACCATGTAAACTGTAGACATGGTTGAAGAAAAAAAAGTCACACCATGTAGGTGCTTAGCTCAGCAATATGTAATAATTTCCTCTTTTGGCTGATTCCAGAATAAAGAGGAGAGTTACATTACCTAGGTTTTGCACTCAGTAGTATGTCACAATTCCTTTTGTGAGCAGAACCTAGGCAAGAGATGAGAGTCACATTTCCTAGATGCTATGACCAGCAATGTCACAATGTGCCTTGGGGCAAAAGCAAAGGAAAAATATGCAAATCATCTAACTGATAGGCTCAGAGAAATGTGATAATATCCCTTGCTATCAGGGCCCAGGCAGAAAAGTCACATTTTTATGATTCTTACTCAATGATATGCCAAAATACACACATGGGAAACAATGTAAGCAAAAGTTTTAACACATGGGTACTTGGCCCAGTGATATGACACAATATCCTATTTTTTTGTTTGTTTGTTTGAGACAGAGTCTTGCTCTGTCACCCAGGCTGGAGTGCAGTGGCATGATCTCAGCTCACTGCAAGCTCCGCATCCCAGGCTCATGCCATTCTCCTGCCTCAGCCTCCCGAGTAGCTGGGACTACAGGCACCCGCCACCATGCCTGGCTAATTTTTTGTATTTTTAGTAGAGACGGGGTTTCACCATGTTAGCCTTGATCTCCTCACATTGTGATCTGCCCTCCTTGGCCTCCCAAAGTGCTGGGATTACAGGCCTGAGCCACCACACTCAGCCCAATATCCTAAGTTTTGAGAGTGACACTTTTAACTGTTAGCTTGGGGTCTATAACAAAGTCACACGGTCACATGTGTACTGGGACACCAAATGACATTGTCTACAACATCCCAGGGCTTCATATGGCATGAATTATATTTGCAAACTTCTCTGAGGCCCATATGCTTGTATGAACTCACAATCTTATATATTGCCTTAAATTCAGGTACAATAGTCAACATCTCTCATTTGGGCTACGTTCAGGAAGGAGAACCATTTTTATGCCTGTGAGGTGGGTCCAAAAATAAGTCACGATCGCACCTGAGGCCAGATGCACATGTGAGAGTCACAATTCCATTTTTGTACTGTTTTCTCATGTTAAACTTAGTAACTCAGCAGTATACTTTGTAATTGTGGGATGGTGACAATTTTACTTTCACCTGGGTGTGCAACTGAGAGTCAAAATTTTAACTTTTTGCTGGGCCTTGTTATGAAACTCTCTGTACCACCCATAAAGTTTATACAAAAATGAATTGTTTTTGTAAACTTCCATGAGCTTTGTACAAATATGCAACCCAGAATTTTTTCTATTGCCATAAGCCTAGTGATGAGAGGCAAAATATCTTCTATTGGCTGAATCCCAATATAGGTTTGATCATCATGCCTGTGAACTGAGCAAGGTATGTTCCATAATCCCATCAGTGGGAAAAAAGTTAGAAAAAGAGTAACATCACTTAGGTGATGTGGCAATCAACATGTCAGAATGTTCCCTCTAGGCAGAATCTAGGAAGGAGGGTCACATTAACTGGGTGCTGGAACCAGCAATATGTCAATTCCACATGTTGAAAAACATAAAAAAGTGATGAGAGCCAAAACACTTAAGAATAAGTCAAAGATATTTCAAAATACTCTCTGTGGCTCTGGCATAGGCAGGACAGAACTGCAGTGAAAGAATTATATTACCTTGGTGCAGGTTTAACTTTTATGTCACAGTGATCTATACAGGTGAGGCCCAAGTATTCAGTCACATCACCTAGGTGATAAGCCCAGAGATATGTCACAAGGACCTCCTTGAAATATAGCCCTGGCAAAATGTATCATTACCTGTGTTCCTGATCTACCAATATGTCACCCCATCCTCTGTGCTCAGGGCACCTTCCAGAGAAAGGAGTTACATCACCTAAGAGGTGAACACAGTAATATGTCACAATGATATCTGTGGGTGTGGTCCAGGCAAGAATATAACATCATCTGGATGTTAGATCCAGTGATATGTCATTATCCTTACTGAGAAAAGGGACCAGGCAGGAGAATCACATCACCTAGACATTGGATCAGGATGAGGTAGAGATTATAATCCCATATATGTGCTAGAACCTGTCTGGAGAGTCAAATCACACAGATGCTTGGCAAGATATGAATGACATTCACACTTGGAGGATATTGCAGAGATGAGATTTACAATAACATACATGTCCTGTTTTCATGTTTCACAGTAGGCTTCATATTTATGAGATGCAGACAATACTTCCTGTCAGCTGGATATGTATATGAGACTCCCAATTTCATCTTTTGGCTGGGTTTTGTTATGGCATTATCTGCACAAGCCAAAAGTTGTAAAATATCTCAGGCTGCTATAATCTTCTGTGAACTTTTTACCAGAAAGATATCTGAGACATCACTTGCATTGCTAAACCAAGTTACATGAGTCAAACTTACTCCTATTTCAGGGGTCCACATATGAGTCATTATCATGCCTGTGAGCTGTGCCTAGTTATTTGTCAAATGTTACTCTGTAGTAATGAAACAGGCATGACAGTCACATAACGTAAATGCTGAGACAGAAATGTTCCAATATTCTCTTTGTAGGCAGGTTCTTCACAGAAAAATCACATAACTTCGGGGGTCTATGCCCAACTCTACGGCACAGTGTCTCTTGTGGGTAATGTCAGGCAGAAGAAGAGAGTCATATTACCTAAATGATAGGCCCATAGATATGTTACAATGCCACCTGTTGAAAGGGCTAGGCAGGTATCATTTATAATTATAGTCATTTTGTATCTTATTGTAGCTTTGATTTGCATTTTTCTAATAATAATGTTGAGCATCTTTGCACACGCTTGGCCATTTCTATGTCTTCTTTGGAGAAATGTCACTTGGTGTCTCTTGCCTATTACTAAATTTTCTGTTATTTTTGCTTTAAGTTTCTCATATATTCTTTATATTTTTCCATTGCCATATGTATATTTTGCAAGTATATTCTCCCACACTGTAAGTTGTTCCTTCACTCTGTTAATTTATTTTTGCTATGTAATTATTATTATTATTTTTTTTAGAATCTGGTAATTTTATTTGTCCGCTTTTGTTTTTCTTGCCTGTTCTTTTGAGGTCTTATTTAAATTTTTTTTCCTGTCCTATTTGGTAAAGAATTTCTCTATGTTTTATTCAAATAATTTTATACATTTGAGTTTACATTTCAATCTTCTACTTATTTTTATTTAAATTATTTTAATATGGTAACAGGTAGGAACCTAGTTGTATTCCTCTGTATTTAAATAATCAATTTTCCCAGTACCATTCATTGAAAAGATTGTCTTTTCTTAAATGTATGTTCTGAACCACTCAAAAATTACTTGGCTCTAGGTTTATGAATTTTATTACTGGGATCACTGGATACTTTGGTCTATGTGTCTGTTTTCTATGCCATTATCATGCTGTTTTGCTTGTTATAGCTTTGCAGTATGTTTTGAATTCAGGTGGTTTGATATTGTCAGCTTTGTTCTTTTTTCACAGGATTACTTTAGCTATTTCAAGAGTTTGTTTGTTTGTTTGTTTTGGTTCCACATAAATTTTGTGCCTCTTTATCTCATTTCTATACAAAAATATTCATGATATTTTTAGAGAGTTTGCATAGAATCTGTAGATTTCTTGTGTAGCATAGCTATCTTACCTATATTTTTTATAACTCATGAGAAAAATATCTATTTTTTTTACTTTTTTACCAATGTTTTATAATTTATTGTGTGGAGACTTTTTCTCTTTTTAATTAAGTCTACTTCTACACACCTTTATTTTTTATTCTAGATAAACAAAAAGTATTTGGAAAATTTTACATGCCTTTGTAATTAAAACAAGTTAACAAATTAGGTATAGATGTTATGTACTTCAACACAGCTAAGGCAAAATATGACAAATCAATAGCAGTTATTGTTACTGGTGGGTCTTCTTTATTCTCAGAGCTCCCAAGATGGTAGTAGGCTGCTCCCAACATGAGGCAGACAGCTCCCAAGATGACAGCAAGCTTTTTCTTCTCTGACCTGGGGTCTTGGCCTCAGGGATTCCAAGGAATGGAATCTTGGGCCATGCGGTGAGTGTTATAGCCCTACTAGAGGCTGTGGTTCATGGAAGAGAACCATGGAAGCCAGCAAATAGTGTTCAGCTCGATTAGGACAAACCTGGGCACTTAGCCATGCAGGAACAATGGTGAGCCTGTAGCCCAATCAGGCGTGGCAATGGATGTCTAGCTGGATTAGGAGAACCATGAACACCCTGCTGGATCCAGAGGGGTGGAAGTCAGTGGCTGGTCTGCCATGGCAGCATTTAGCAGTGATTATCGGAGAGCAAAATCTCAGCTTCAGCAGGAACAAATACAGACCAGAGGACTGTGCAGTTGCAAGATTTAATAGAGTGAAAACAGAGCTACCATAAAATGGGAAGGGACCCAAACATGGTTGCCCCTTCCTGCTCTAATGCCAGGGTTTATATCCCAACCATTGTCTCTCCCGTCTGTGTTCTCAGGTGATATATGATTTGACTATTTCTTTATCTCCAGCTTTTGACTAATTTGTATTTTAGTTAACCCTCTTTACTATCTGATTGGTCATGTGTGAGCTGAGTTACAAGCCCCATGTTTAAAGGTAGGTGTGGTCACCTTCCTCAGCTAGGCTTAGGAATTCTTAGTCAGCCCAGGATATCCAGCTTGTCCTATCTGTCAGTCCCCTCTCTAAACAGGAAAACCAAAGTGCTGTTGGGGAGGTTGGACAGAGATGGCTCTTAACTGCTTCCTGTTGAATTGGGGTGTAGTAGGGGTTGTGCAGTTGAGATTTCCTCAGGAGTGGTGCCTTTAATGTCATTAACATCAGATCATGGGATAGCAGGCCAGTTCAGTGGTCCAAGATAGATCTTAGTCATGGACTGCATCTGGAACTCCATTTGAAGAATGATTAGTAGTTTTTACAGCTTCGATTCTGGAAGAGAAAAACTTAACAAGATGGTTAAAGGTACAGGGATTGAAATGTATGGCTTGAAGTGCAGGGGATTGTTTCTTAGGTACACTTCACAGGCCCTGACTATCTAACTGATAGTTTTGAAAAGGCCTGGTCCAGTAAATAATGATTTGGTCATCTGATGGATGCTATCAATGCCTAAATGAAAGGTTAGGTGAAAGGTCTGAAGTAATTTCCATTGGTTAGCTGCAGGCAAAATTATTTTTTCTTCTTCAGTGGGTAGCCATCCTAAAGGGCAGAAACTATGTCATCATGAGGTTCCCCATTGTATTTCTTCTGCTAAATACTGGGGCTTGATTTCCCAGAGGGGATTATCCCATACTATGGGTCCTTCTATAAACATTTCTAATGAAGTCCCACATTGGGGCTCTTTTGCCTTCAATATCCGCATGGCAGTCCCCTTCTATTTCCTTTTTCTTTCCTTTCTGATGACCCTGGCAGTGTAAGAATGCCACCTCTTTAGTTTTCTCTACAGCCAATAATAATCTCCTAATGGTTTTCTGATGTTTGATAGGTATTCCCTTAGAAGTTAGGAATTCCCTTTCTTTTCATATTGCTGCGTGGGCATGGAGGACTAAATGGGTATTAGCTTTCTGAGTTTCTTTAATTAGTGTGTATAATGGCCTGGCTATTTCACTGTACCTGGGAATCAATATTCAGCAGAAACCTGATAATGCAAAGGAACCCTCTTAATTGATCCAGGGTTTTGGGATAAGCATAAGGAAGTATAGGCTGTATGGATTCCTCACTGAGGACCCTGGTGGCTTTGGATAAATTTTAGCCCTGAGTATTTAATCTGGTGCAAACACAGCTGAGTCTTTGGTTTGGAAATCTTGTAGCCACAGGTGGCAAGGAAGTTCAAGAGCATGTGGGTGGCTTGATGGCACAAGATTTCTGAACGGGTGGCTAAAAGTAATTCTTCCACATACTGAAGGACAAGAATGTCCAAGTATGAGAACTGTCTCAAGTCTTGGGTTAATGCCTTGTCAAATAGATGGGGCCTATCCCTGAAACCTTGGGTAAAACAGTCCAGGTTAGTTGAGACATTGGATTCAAAGGATCTTCAAAGGCAAACAAAAATTGAGAGTCAGGATGTACAGGGATGAAGAAAAAGGCATCCTTGAGATCCAGGACTGTAAACCACTCACTTCCTCTGGTATTTGGGAAAGTAGAGTACAAGGGTTAGATGCATCTGAGTATAGATTGACAATGGCCTTATTGATAATCCTGAGATCTTGCACTAACCTCCCCTCTCCATTTGGTTTTTGTACTCCTAAAATTGGAGCATTGTTGGGACTATTGCATGATTTTACCAGGACTTGGGCTTTTAGGTCCTTAACATCTTCTGGAGTCCTTGTTGAGCCTTGGGTCTAAGGGTTTACTGCCTTTGGTAGGGAAAGGAGGCAGAATCTTTTCATTTAACTTTAATGGGATGGACAATCTTTGCTTGTCCTTTTTGTACTTCTGTTGCCCAGACTTCAAGATTAATTCCCTCTTCAAGTAAGGTACAACAAATGGTGTACCTAATCGAAAGACAAGTGAAAGCTCTGTGAGGGTGACGGCATGGGCTTCCACTTGCCCCAGGCACCGTCATTCCTGCTGCTAGATCATCTGGTTAATGTCTTCTGACTCAGAGGATTTTTGTCACCTGGGGCAGTGGTTTTCCAGTGATTCCCTTGACATAAGGCACTTGGATGAGGGGGAGCTTATTTCTATTCAGACAATCTTTATTAAAGTGTCCTCATAGACTGCACTGGAAGCAAACCCTATTATGCATTTGATTTGCCCAGGCTTTCCCTGTTCCAGAGCCTCCAAAGTCCACTTGCCTGAGGACCATGACTAAAGTGGTGGCCTTTTATTTATTTATTTATTTAAATCATGTATGTCCCATTCTGCCTGCTCCTCCTGATCTTTATTATAAAAAAACAGAGGTTGCCAAGTTCAATAGTGTTTCTGAGTTTTTCTCTGGGCCTAAGGCAGACTTTTGTTTTTTTTTCTAATATCTGCAGCTGACTGAGTGATAAACTAATCCTTTAAGATTAGTTGGCCTTCAATAGAGTCAGGTGACAGAGTAGTATGATTGCTCAATGCCTCCATTAGTCTCTCCAGAAAGGCAGTAGGATTTTCTTCCTTTCCATTTGTTATAGTGGACATCACTGAATAATTCACAGGCTTCTGCCTAGTTTTCCTTAGTTATTCTAACATGCAAGCTAGCAAATGTCTGTGGCACCACTTTCCATGTTCTGATTATGCATTCCAATGAGCATCCACACTAGGAACTGCCTGCTGGCCTGTGGGGAATTGTTCTCTTTCCTCTGTTATCATCCTATCATTGACATGACTGAGATACCAGAGGTCACCAAACTCTCAGGCTGCTGCTATGGAGGCACTTATTTCATTTAGGGTGAGTGCCTGATCTAGTAGTAACATTATGTCTCTCCATGTAAGATCAAAGGATTGCCCTAACCCTTATAAAACATCAGTAGTGCCATCAGGGTTATATGATAATTTGCCTAGGTCTATTTTGACTTGCTTTAAGTCTGAAAGGGAAAAAGGTACAGATACTCTGACTGCGCCGAATTCTCCAGTATATATCATAGGGGCATTTTTGACTTGGGGGGAATGATTCTCATCAGAAAAAAGAACACAGGGATGCCAACACCCCTAGTCATTTTCTGATAAGCGTTAGTTCCTAGAGCGTCCTCTATGGTCCTAATGCTTATTCCTTTACAGGGTGCATAACGACACATGGACCTCTGTTTCTCAGATTAGCGATGCTCACTGATGTAGCAGTACTGTACCCCTTTTCCCACCTTTCTTGACCACAAAGAAATGGGTCTGGGTTGCTGGAATCCAGCGGTCCTTTAACCAGCATGCCCAACATTGCCTTTGTGCTCAGAGGTGAGTTTCTATCCAGGGTGTGTAACCACCCATGGACCTCTGCTTATCAGATTAGTTATGCTCACTGATGTAGAAGTTCTGAACCCCTTTTCCTGCCTTTTTTGACTGCAGAGAAAGGGAACCAGGCTGCTGGATTCTAGTGGTCCTTTACCAGCATACCCAACATTGCCTTTGTACTCAGGGGTGAGTTCTAGAGCTAGGCTGAGTTCCTGAGTATTTTATAACAACCCAGTTGCCCAATCAAGATGCATTCCCATAAAGAGTTCTTATGGAAATTCGCTTCAGAGAGGGTGTAGGTAACCTATTTGAGTCAGGATTGAGATAGAGTTTTTTGATTATGTAAGTACTTTAAGACTTGGCTGAGTGCAAACAGCTTGCACGTTTGAGCAGACCAGTTATTAGGTAGTTCTCCTAACTCTGTTTCCACAATTACTGAATACCCATTGTGTTTTTTTTTTTTTTTTTCTCAAACACCTGGGATGAACTGTCTATCTTCCTGTCCTGAAGGGAGTTCCTCCTAGATGTGGTCGGATCTTTGTAAGGTAATTAAAATTTAAATCCTCTGTTACAAAATCTGCTGGGTTAAGAGAATTTTCAGTGGTTAATGTTAAATCACATTTATCTACCAGAATAGCCCCATACTTTAAGATTTGTGAGTTAGTAAGTTAACTTTTTGCTTTTTTTTTTTTTTTTTGATTTAGGATAGCTCTGAACTGGTGAGGTGTTCTCACAATGAGGTTTGCTCTAAAGGTTATTTTTCTACTTTTAGCAAAGCAGTTGCTTATACCAGCTGAATGCATTTGGCCCATCCGTACATTACTAGGTTAAGGATTTTTGATAGGAAGGCTACGGGTTGTCAGTGGTCTAAGTGTTTTCAGGCTATGCCCTTGTTTATACTGACAACAAGGTAGAATTGGAGAGTTATAGGGTCATGGAGAAGACCTTCTATTATCAATTATAGGTTTTAAATTTAGCCTGTCTTTTAAAATAGGGCACACTGTTTTTTCTTTACTACTTCTATCTTTCTCTTTCTCTCTTTGTCTCCCTCTTTGTCTCTCTCTCTCTCCTATCTCTCTTTCTGTCCTCTCTTTCCACTGTTTCTCTCTCTCTCTCATCTCTGTCTCTCTCTCCTTTCTGTATCTCTTTGTCTACTCTCTGTCTCTCTCTCTTTCTGTGTCTCTCTCTCATTCCTCTCTGTTTCTATCTCTCTTCTCTCTCTCTTTTCTCCTCTCTCTCTCCTTTCTCTCTTTGCAGATGGATTTTGGAAACACAGTAGAAGTACAGTTGCTTGTTGCTCCAATTTGCCACTATAGGAATATGTGCCACCCTTTAATTACTCAATTTGGGAAAGAAAGTGAAAGTCTGAAGCATTAGTATCTAGGAGGCAGGGATCAGAGGAAATAGATTCAGAGGTAATGAGAATTTTGTTGATACATTTTCAAGAAATCATGGTCAGGACCCAGGAGGTATTGGTCAGGAGAGGTAGGGGTGCATGCATGGGTGACTGCTGAGTAGAGACTTCTGGATGTGAAATGATCTTGACCAACCAATGCCAGGAGTTTGGGACGACAGTTTTCTGCCTCTAGTTGATCCTCAGCTTCCCCAGGATAATTGTGAAAGTGGAAGCTGGTTCCAGGCAGACCAATGCTCCCAATGCAGAAGGTTGGGGGTTATTAGAAAGCCTTTTCCCCAAAAGCCTCACACCTGAGTCTTTAGTCTGGCAGCTATGCTAATTGTTTTTAACCAGCCGAGAGGTGCCCAGTATTTTCTTCCAATTCTAAGAAAGGATAGGACAAAACAGCAAGTGAAAGTGGTCTGATATTACTCGCCTCTTTGGAAAAGCCCCATATGGGTCACCAAATGTTACCAGTGGGTCTTTGTTCATAGAGTTCCCAGGATGATGGGGGGCCACTGCCAAGATGGGGCGGGCTGCTCCCAAGATGACAGCAAGCCTTTTGTTCTCTGACCTGGGTTTGTTGACCTTACAGATTCCAAGGAATGGAACTTTGGGCCATGTGGTGAGTTTTATAGCTCTATTAGAAGCCATGGGTCATGGAAGAGAACCATCAGACCCAGTGACTAGTGTTCAGCTAGATTAGGATGAACCCAGGCACTTAGCCATGCAGAAACAATGATGAGCCTGTCGCCCAATCAGGAGTGGCAATGGGATCCTCACTGGATCAGGAGTGCTGTGAACACCCTGCTAGATCTAGGGAGATGGGATTCAGCAGTGGGTATGCAATGATAGCATTCAGTAGTGGTGGATGGTGAGCAAAAGCTCAGCTCCAGCCAGAAAACAGACCAGAAGACCGTGTACTTACAAGATTTAATAGAGTGAAAACAGAGCTCCCTTACAGTGGGAGAGGACCCAAAGGGGATTGACACCCCCACTCTAATGCTTTAGTTTGTATCCCAATAATTGTCCATCCCCTTGTGCTCTAAGGTGATATATGATTTCACTATTTCTTTACCTCCTGCTTTTGCCTAATTGGCATTTTATTGAGCCCTCTTTACTAATTGATTGGTAAGGTGTGAGCTGAGTTACATGCCCCATGTTTAAAGGTAGGTGAAGTCACCTTCCCTAGCTAGGATTGGGAATTTCTTAATCAGCCTAGGAAATCCAGCTAGTCCTGTCTCATATTATCACAGCAAACTGGAAAGGAAAGTGCTTTTTACTGAAGATCTGAAACAAGACAATTATGTCAACTTTTACAATTTGTATTCAACAGAGTACTGGAAGGCCCAGAAAGATCATTTATGCAAGATAAAGAAATAAAGCACATCCAAATAAAAAATTAGAACATCAAAATTTCTCTGTTTGCAGATCACATGATTGTCTCTATAGCAAACCTAAAATACTGCACTAAAAATCTTGAGAATTAATAAAAAATTCGATGAAGTGGCAGAATACCAAATTAACATACAAAAATTAGTAGAAGCAGGGTTTTTTTGAGATAGAGTCTTGCAGCAGAAGCATTTTGGTATGCCACCAATAAGTCGTCTGAAAAAAAAATTAAAGAAAAAATATTTAGAAGAGCTATAATATATGTTTTACTTAATTTTAATTTTATGTTTGTGGAAAGGGTCACCTTTGTTTGTTTATTTGTTTATTTATTTATTTTTGAGACAGAGTCTTTCTCTGTCACCCAGGCTGGAGTGCAGTGGCATGATTCCGCTTCACTGGAAGCCCCACTGCCCAGGTTCACGCCACTCTCCTGCCTCATCCTCCTGAGTAGCTGGGACTACAGGTGTCCACCATCACTCCTGCCTAATGTTTTTGTATTTTTAGTAGAGACAGGGTTTCACCAGTTAGCCAGGATGGTCTCGATCTCCTTACTTCATGATCCACCCACCTCAGCCTCTGAAAGTGCTGGGATTACACGCGTGAGCCACCGCACCCAACCAGTTCAACTTTATTTGTTGTAATTCGGACATACAGCACTCTCGCTCCAACCAATTTGGTAAAAAGACTGTTTCTTTCTCATTTTGAGTGATAGAGACAGGAGCTAGTCAAGGGGCTTTTTCTCATTTTAAGTAATGGAGACATGGGATAGTCAAGGGAAATTTTTATTTTGAGTGATGAAGACAGGAGATAGCCAAGGGACCTATTCTCTTTTTGAGTGATGGAGACAAGAGATAGTCACAGGTCCTGGCCAAAACTCCATCTTCAAGCTTAAAACAGCCTGAAGCCTGAAAAACTGGATAGCTTGTTTCACACTCACCCTTTTCTAATCTCTTCTCACTGAGTAATATCTACCTCTACATTGGGAAAAGGAAGTGGAGACATTTAAATTCACACCTTTTGGCAGGGCAGGAGCCTGGACTTTTTCGTTGGCATGTGGTGAACTAGCGTTCATCAACCTGTGAAAAGGGGCCTATTAAAAGGAGTCCCACTCACTTTGCTGACAGGTTTCTTTCTCTTTGTTTGTTTGTATTTTTTTCTTTTTGCCCAATAAATTTTATTCTTCCCCCTTCAGTGTGTCCTTTAGCCTATTAACTCCTGATCATGTGACAAGATCCTGGTTTTAGCTTTCCAAAAAACAAATAATAATAAAAAAAAACAAAATAAAGAAAAGAAAGAAAAAAACTTCTAAAACATTTCAGTGTCTAGATGTGGGGCTTGAGGAGGGGTAATAGGTATACCAAAAAAAAAAAAATTATATTTTGTTTATAAGACTTTTCATCCTTGGATTTCTCCTGAGGCTAGAGGAAACTGCACCACCTCACCCCACAAGCCCCAGGCACATCCCATGGAGAGATGTATGGTGGCCCTCACCCTTATCTCCTCTGGGATGGAAAATGCCAAGCATTCATGGTGTCTACCCCTTCACTGGCCAAGGGATTCAGTCTCCTCTAAAAGCAATTGTTTTTCTCTCTGTTGATAAAAACCATTTGCAGAAGAATGAATATTTTCTTCCCTCCCCTACACTTTAGACTTTCATTTTTGTTTTTGTGTCTTTTATTGTTTGTATTGTCTTATGGTTGTTGTTTTTCTTCACACTGTCTGCAGTTTCCTTTTAAATAAAAGGGTTTTTTAATTTTTCTTCATAGAAAATGTTTTGCTGGGATAAGACCCCAACGATCACTGCTTATATTCTTTGTACTGTTTTAATCGTGAAAGGGTATTTTTGAGGTTGATCTTGAGCTGTGGCCAATCTGGCATGCTTTCTATGTGATTCTCTATGATTGTTAGAAAATTGTGCAGCAGGCCTCCATCTTGTTTTATGCTTTAGAAACATGACCTGTCACCAGGTTGTAATGTTTTATTTTGGCCTCTTCAGTTTTATGATGGTGGCCCAGGTTTAATTCTGGCTTAGGGAATGTGTCTCTTCTGGTTTCACATCAGCATGTGATTTTGCTATTTGCAGATTCTCTTCCCCTTCACAAACTACCTTAACCTTTTCTTCTCTGAGCACCTGGTAAGGTATCTCTGATAAAGTTTGAAAGCCAGAAATACTGGCTACTTGGTACTTCTTGCATCAGGTAATAAGCATGTAAAAGGATTTTCTTAAAGAGTACTCAACTCAATTAAAAGTACATATCCAAATAATAGGTATGGTTAAAAGACATATTTTTCTCTTCTGGGTTTTTGTTTGGCTGGGGAAAGGATTTTTCTCAGCTAACTGAATTATTTTTCTTTATTTGGGCTTGCCACTCTCCTGCATAAATGAGAGTCCAGTAATTCTATCAGGAAAATCGCAAATAAAAAACATATTGGCTACTGGGTTTTCGTTTGCCAGTCTGTGTAGTTATATATGTGCTATGTGAGTGACATCTATAAAGAAGAGCTCTAATAAATTCACTTAAAGAATGATAAGACCTTGGATCAAACATTTTCTGAAGGGAAGATAAAAGCTATATACCTTTAAGTTCACATGATTTTCATCTTAGAGACATAAAAACAGCCTTAAAGATGATAAAAAAAACAACAACACAAATGTCATCAATGTATGAGTAGGTGCACTAAATTATGCAGGTCAGATACTAGGCTTGCTAAATATTTTAAGGTTATAAACTGATTTTTTGGTTTTAGAGAACAGTTCAACTTTGCTTTACAATTGGTAAGGCCTGAGAACAAATGGAATTAACCACACCCTTAAGCTGAAAGGAGACAAAACCTTGGCTGCACTTAGTACATAATAACAACAATTTACCTGGCATTACATTAAAGTTAAAATTACTAGAATTTGCCATTACAACATGTAATCAAAACCAATGGAAATATATTTACAAATGACTTAGATTATAAGAAGTCATGGTAATATAAATTCTTGGCTAGGCTTGAACAATTGTTTTGAAATAGATAAAATGAAGTTAACAGTTCAAACAAATTGTAGAAGTATTGTAAAACTAAATGATGACAAAGAAATTCTTCATGTGAACATTAATTAAATTCTAAAGGTATTATATGGAGATTTTGTAAATTAAACATTGAAATAAAAACAGCACAGTAGTCTTAATGCAATAATCTGCTCTTTAGCATAATTTTTGAAGAATTATTAAAAGTTTCTGCTTTTTACATTTCTAAGTCATCGTTTTGGTTAAATAAGTTATTTATGATAATCTGGAATTTTATTTCATAACATTAAGTGTTTTAAACCACTAACATGTAACATGCTTCTCAAAATCAATGTTTGTTATAAAATTGTCATTCTGAATTTCTGGCTTTTAGATGATACAGAGGGCCCATGGAGTATCCACAAGAGAGGCAAACAGGATTATATGACATGATTAGTTACATTAAATTGACAAAATGGTGTTCAATATTCTTTAGATGATGTTTTGGTGAGTAATGCTAGTACATGTTTTAAAACTGTTTGGGATTTCTAAAATTCTAATATCTGAAGTATATGCTATCAACCACAATTAAAGTTGTTATGTTAAGTTGTTGGAACCACAGAAATAAACAATTTTTTTTTGTCAAAGAAATAGCCAAAATATTTTATCAATCATGTTTCTTACTGTAATTACCCTAGACATTTGTTATACACAGATAGTTCTTTTCCTGTTTTGATTTTTTTCAAAAAAAGGATGAATCAGCTATAGAACTTTGCACAGATGCTCTCAAATACAGGTTTCTGATAACTTTGTAGATTTACATAAAAGTTAAATTAAAGTTAAAGTCAAATTAATTAAATTTGAAGTTAAAGTAAAATTAAAGTTAAAATTAAAGATTGTGATATTAGAAAACAGAAAAAATGTACAGGACTCATGGAGAGCTAAAATGTTCATGATTATGAAACAAAACAAGAGTTAACTGAACAGACTGGAAGAATAGAGAACCAAAATAATCTTTCTCACTTTTGCTTGTACCATTAATGATCATTGTATTGTTTATCATAGTCAAGGAAACATATTTTGAGTTTCTTATAGCCTTTAATGTTTGACTAAGTTGTACTCTTGTGACCAAAATTTAGAGCATGTTTTTCTCTCTCTGCCTGGCTTCTGCACAATTTGAAAAATAGTTGTGACTATTTTTAACTTTAGACAATGTATCTATTTGCATCAGTGCCATAATAATAACTTTTCTTTTACAACAGGACACAACTAAAAAAACTGATTGTTTTACCAAAGCCGTGACTAAAATGGTCTGCTTTCCTTTAAGGAGTCAAGTTCTACTTGCAGAGCCAATGAAAGTCCCTTGGAAGAACTGGGCTTATACCTTGTCTTCACAGTCCTTGCACAGGGTTCCTGATCTGTGGTAAGTAAAGAATGAAACTTTCTGACAGGCCCAGTAGCTCCAAGTTTCTCTTGGGATCATAGCAGGAGATTACCCAAGTCATAATTAATTGATGATACAAGCCAATTGCTTGGCATGAATTTTGAAAGTCCTATCGGAAATTTCTTCTGGAACAGAGTTCCATCAAATCTAACATAAAAGACCTACGGATACAAAATTATTCTTGCTGCACTTTATGCAAATAATTAGGCCCTATATAAGACTAAAGTTTATTTCACAAACAAATCAGTCCTATTGTGATTTGTCTTTTTAAATTAGAGGACTGGACAGAGAAAGATTATGTATCAAAACTCACTATGCATTTGTCATTAAATTTTAAAACCATGAGTTTGAATTTTTGCCCACATTTTAGATCAACCATGCTTGTTCCTGTGAAATAACTTGCAATCTTCAACTGCAGCTCAGAAGAAACAAAAAGGGATGAGTAATGTAAAAGTCTGGTTTAATATTCTGGTTCTGGGCAGTTATCCTGCAAATTTTTCAGGTAGTGAAAATAAATAGGATGCCCACCCACATCTTAGCAAGTTTAACTATTGTCACTAGTTATCTGGGTTTGTCACAAGACATTTTTATTTTCTCTTCCTGTGGAAAGAGGACTAAATTCCACAACTTTATCTTAGCATTCAGCTATTAATAAGGAGTCCGTGCAATCCCCTGAGAAACATTTTTGTCCCAACCTCAATTCCTAGCCTCAAGTTGAAGTCCTAAGAAAGTATACTGGAGCTGAGAAACCCAGAAGTAGATGATTATGGGGGTTAAAATTCACAGTGGAGGAGAGCATGACTAATTCCAGTGGATTAAGCCAAGCCTCACATTTCATGGATAAAGGTCATGATACTATCTGTTACGTAAATGAGATCTAGTGAACTCCAGAACTACTGACAGCAGGGGAGATATGACATATGTAGGTAACAGCAGATATTTCCACCCCCAACAGGGGTCCATGTTAACATGAGTGAAAGCTGCTTTGACATCCATGGGTTGCACCCTATCACAATCACTGGGATTTGAGGATACAAGGATGCAAGGGGGAAAGACAACATTCCTTCTTCTATCTCTCAACATACACTGGATATTTGGTAGAAAGATAAAGGAATCAGGAATACCTTCTCTCTCTTTCTAGATGTGTAGTCATTCATTTTCAGTCTATATTCCTTTTAAATGCATCCTAAAATTTTGGGCCTCCTTTGAAAAAGTGCTTACTTTTTACCTTTTTTTCTCCTCTGTCCTCTGTTTATAGACAGGTATTCATGTCTTTATACTACGGGACAGTCACCTCAGATGCATCCTAGAAGTTTGGAATAGTTAATTTCCCAAAGCTTAGACTGGTTGGCTTAGCTTAGGATTGGACTCAGGACAGAGGAACACAGAAGCCAGACATGCTTGCAAAAGGGTAAAAAAAAAAAAAAGTTTCTTTTGAAGTTGTGCCTTCATTGCCCTTCTTCCTGTGCAAACTGGAAAAAATATCTTGGAATTTTTGCGCTGTACTTTACACCTTCTCCTTGTTTCATTTTAATGCATGTTTTTTAATAACCCAGTTTGATTCTTCTCACATTTAGGCTACCAAACTTCTGACACTCATGCCACCAGAGGCTCAGACAAGTCCCCTTTCACTAGAGACATTTAGGTAGGGATTTTAGGAAAAACTGACTGCTGGTTTTCCAAAACAGTGCCCCCTGTTAGCAGGAAGCTCTTAAAAGTGGTGTTTGTCCTGATCCTTCTCCTTATTCTAATGGCAGTTAGATATACCTCTTTATATGGGGAACTTACAGAGTTAGAAAACAGCCAAATGGTCCTGGGTGAAACCCCACCTTCAAGCCTAAAACACCATAATGACTGAAAAATCAGACTGCTTCTCCTGGAGGAAGCCACCCTTTTTTCAACCAATTCATTCTGAATAATGTCCACCTCCACAATGGGGGAAGTGATTGGAGCCATGGAGCCACGGAGTGTTCACTCTTGTTCAAGGAGAAGACTGGCCTCTGCAGTTCTTGTGTTACAGTTTAGTGTTAATCTACCTGGAAGGTGGGGCCTCCTCCTAGGACTCCCACTCACTTTGTTGACAGTTTATGTTTTCTTCTTTTTATCTTTTTACCCAATCAACTCTACTCCTCATCCTTCAGAGTATCCCTGAGCCTCATCTTCCACAGTCATGTGAGAAGAACCCAATTTTGCTGAAGTGAGGAGAAAGTTCTGCAAAATGAGGATTGTGAATCCTCATTTATGGTAAGCTGAGTATAAGCATGTGGATTTCTTTCTGGCTTCTCTTACTGGTTTCAACAATTATTTTTCTGTCTTTATGCCATCACCACACAATTTTGACTAATGTAACTTTGCAATATGTTTGGAAATACAAAACAATTATTCCTCTGAGATTTTTTTTAGGTTGTTTTCTTTCTTGTGGTTTTTTTGAGTGTTTATAGGGCAATATTTGTTGGCTCACTCCTGTAAATCCAGAACTTTGGGAAGCCAAGGTAGGTAGATTGCTTGAGTCCAGGAGTTTGAGACCAGCCTGGGAAATATAGTGAAACCCTGTCTCTTAAAAAAAAAAAAATACAAAAACTTTCTGAGCTTACTGGCGTTCACCTGCAGTTTCAGCACTTCTGAAGCTGTGGTGGGAGAATCAATTGAGCTTTAGACTTCAAGGATACAGTGAGCAATGATTATGACACTACAGCCTGAGTGACACAGGTAAATATTGATTCAAACATTTTATCATAATTTAGTATTTCTGCAAAAATTATCATTGTTTAAAGAGTTCTCACTGATGTGTAGATCACTTTGTATATCATTAATATCTAAAAATCTTGCATGTTCTAACTCTTGAAAAATAGTATGGTAAAGAATATATCTATTTTTCAAATACATGCAAACATGCTAGTTTTGTTTTAACTTCCAGTTATATTTTACTGTAGTCAGAAATAATACTTTTTGTGAATACCATCTGTTTAAATATGCTAAAAATAGTATGCTACCTTAGAAGTTTGCCTATTTTAGAAAAGGTGTCATATGCAATTAGTAGTGTTATGTATTATGCTATTGTTGGGTAAAGTGTTTTGTAGATTAACTTAACATCTCATTTCTCTGTTCAACATTTTTATTTCTTTGTGCATTTGTCATCTTTATTTTGTTTCTCTTTATTTTTATTTATTTTCATTTTTTCTGTTAATTTAATTTATATTATTTCTCGTTATATTCTCTTCATCTCCAATATACTCCAAGTTGTATCTTGTTTGTAGCAGTTTAATTTTATATTGTTACTTTTATTTATTTCTCTTCATATTCCTTCATATTAATTTTTCTTATTTAATTTTTATTTTTTCTTTATTCTGAAAATTTTTACTGCAAATTATTTCATTTCTGTTTATTTCTTTTTTGTATTTATTGTTTATCTTAATCTTAATTTTTATCTCACTGATTTAATTGCATTTCTCATTATTTTTCTCTATTTTATTTCAGTTTATTTTATTTGTCCTTACATTTTTCACTTATTTTACATTTATTTTTATATTTTATTTCTCTTGATTTTTCTTATGTATTTTTCTATATTTTGCTTTGTAAAACAGAAGAGATGAGATATTTTAGATTGGCCCAGCCATAGCAGTCAAGACTCGTGTTTGCTGGGGCTCTCTGACAGCTACTGTACCCTAGGAGTCTTCAATGAAAAGTATGATCAGGGCATCCTAGCAAGACTGCTAAGATCCCTGGACAGATCTTCCATTGCTACAGGCCCATCTAGCATTCAGTGTCATGGGTCATTTCTGCTGCTTTCAGAAGGCCCCTGCAAGCCTCAGTGTTGCTAGGCCAAAGCCCTGACTGCCTCTTTGTTTGTGTCCCAATGGATCCCCCACACATAATCCAGGATCCTGACTGTTCTTTCTTTTTTCCCAGAACAGGGTCACACCCACTCCACTCCACATCAGAGCATATCTAGACCATAAGTGTGTCTTTGTGTTTTTAAAAAGAGTATCTTTTTTTTTTGGACAGATAATTGCTTTATGATTCAGGCTGGAGTGCAATGACACGATGTCTGTTCAATGCAATCTCTGCCTCATGGATTTAAGTGATTCTCCTGCCTCAGCCTCCCAAGCACCTGGGATTACAAGTGCCTGTCATTTTTTAAATATCTAGTAGAGATGGTGCTTCACCATTTGCCAGGCTTGTTTTGAACTCTTGACTTCAAGTGATCCATCCTTCTCGGCTTCCAAAAGTGCTGGGATTACAGGTGTGAGCCACCACTCCCAGTTGATTTTTTTTAATATATGTTCACTTGACATATAACTGATTTATTGTGAAAATATCAGCTTTATTGGTAGATACACATGCAAATTTCTGCAAAAATGCTAATGATGTTAGGAGATGACATTTCTACATTTCATCTGATGATTTCATGGTGTTGCTATTTTACTTTTTCCGGTCTTTATCTCTATATTTTCAATGGGAAAATCCTCAATGAAGAATCCTCAGTATGATAGACAAAATGTTGTTTAATTGATCATTGATAGACGCAATGAGTTAACTTCTGGTTTTTACTTGGAGTTCTTACAGCTAGGATTAAAAACTCTTGGTTGTATACTCACACGATGAGGAGTTATACTATGCTGTCCTCTTCTATACATTTGTCTGCTGTCACAACTTTTCGAACTTGCCAACGGAAATTGAGGAAAATTGTTTCCCTCAGACTTACTCATTTCCCTTTAGTAAATTTTAAAGTGGTGCATTATTTAGATTTCTTATAAGCTCATAATCACAGAGGCCATATTTGTCAATAGAAAGATTTCTTGCATCAGGATTAAGTAAAGGTGTTTAACAATCATGGCTTATGGTTCCTCCAGAGGCAAAATGGAGCTTAAAAACCATTACTGAAACAAAAAAGTAATAAAAGAAGTTGAGGGCTGCCCAGAGGATAAAGAAAAAAATGCTCCCTTTTACTTCCCAAGTGGTCACTGCTTATTTTGGCATTAATCTTGCTTCTGACCATGATGTGTTTCTTACTGATCTTTCTTGGTATTCCACTGATTGTGCATCTATAAAAAGAGGCCTGGATGAAAGTAGTAAAAAGAACAACTGCATCCTTCTATAGCTGATACCTTGTTGAGCTGTGAAGCACATTGAGCAGAGTCTGAAATCCTTCCTCACTATGGGGTAAGTTGTGTCAAACTCAACACCAATTGAAATGGCACAAGGATCAAGATGCCAAAGAAGAGACTCAGAACCAGTACATGAGATATGGACTTTTAGTGGAAACTTCTATAGAGGGCAGAAAGTACAGTGTCAATGGGCTTAACTGAATAACTGTGCCCACTTGCAAAAAGTCTGCAGTTTGTATAGCCTTTTTATCTGGCACTTTTTTCCTGAAGAAACTTTCACCTGTCAGCCTTCATTTAACAAAAATGGAATAGCCTCAATTCCATGTGTGGCCTGTGTTCCATGTCACAAGATGAGACAGAACAGATGCTCAGACATTCCTTATAGATAAATAGTAATCTCCAGGTTGACTACAACTAGACTTTTTAGCACTGGAACTATGAACAATCAAAAGCATTTATTTATGCAGGGTCAGTATCCAGGTATTCCCAAGTCAACACTGTCAGTTTTGTCCATCATACAGGCTGGGTCAGGCTGTGGAGTTTCTTCTTCCTGAGATTCTAGATTCAAAATAGTTTTTGCTTTTACTTGAATTTTTGAGTTGACAGGAGTTTATCTAAAAGGCCTGATGTATGTGAACTTTGCAGGTACAGTTGTATAAGTTAATGCGATGACTTTTTAGTTGGTAGAGTTTCTGTCTGTTACAGGTGTGACTGTGTGTTTACAGGTTGCTGAGGTGACCTTCTCCAGATTTTCATTAGACCGTGACATTCTGGAGCCCCAGTTCCACTATTTTCCAAGGTGGGACATGCTGAACCAGACCCTGAAATTGTGGTTCAGTGTGACCAGGCTGAGACTGACCTTTAAAAGAAAGAACTGCAAAGTTGGTGTCTTATTTTCCTTGTCATTCCAGTGTATCTTTTGGTAAAGAGACCAGAAAAGACTACTTTGGTATGGAGACCAGAAAAGAGAGAGTATGTGACAGCCCTCCTCATAGAGTGGTACTATTTATTCATGACTCCAAAGCGTCAAGAAAAGTTGAGAGAACTGTCTTCCTGGCACAGCCTGAGTAGGCTAGAGCACTGTGACCCTTAATACTTAGTTCATGTATTCTTCACAGAAATTAAAAAAAATAGTATATGGGGGTAGAGAAATGGTTGGTACAAATAACAAGTTGCAGGTGAAATAATTGGAGACAGGAAGAGAATGGAATCTGCTTACACCAGTACACATACTGCCTAGGTGCTGCTGAACAGTCAAGTCAGTTCTCTGATTTGAGCCTTGTGTCTTGGAATTAACAGGCCCACTTCTGCTCTGGCCTGAGTGCTAAACTTTTTTGTTCTAGAATCAAATGTGAATTCTGGACTCTGGAATTCCAGTTGCGTTTCACAGGCCAGTGGATTAAGGAGGCCCAAATCAGCCCACAAAAGGGGTTGTGGATGGCTCTACCACAAATGACTGGTTGCTTTTGTGCCTACACTCATGAAGAAGAGGCATCATCTTCCTCAAGGCAAGCCCAGAGAGATCTGAAGCGTACAGGTGCCAGTGAAGGAAAAAGGTAATGCCTCAGGCCATTGCTTTTGCCCCTCCTGTGTTGTGTCTTTGGAGGCTCTATTTGCTCATCCAAAAATGGGCAATGAAAGCCCCTCGGTGACTGGCTGCTCACCCCACATTTACCAGGCCACTGCAGAGTGCCCACCCTGCAGCTCTAGGTACATCCTCTGCTTCAAAAAGCTGGGGAAACTCTGGGCTGAGTTAATAGCCCTGAGAGGGTTCTCCCACTCTGGGAGCACTCCTGCCCGCCCCTTTATATCCACGTGACAGCTGAGCATGTCTGCTATATGCCAACCTTATTGTCTGCTTTTGCCAAGCCCAGGGCTTCACTGATTGGCTAGGGGAACGTGCTCACAGAAGCCCAGGTGAACTATCTATACTTTCTCCAATGCACAACCTCATGCAGGTGCCACCCAGGTTTTCTTTTAAATTGTAATCTTAGGGGGTTAGAAGGCACTAAATTATTCACTAATAAGTCTTCTCTAACTTCTTGACTAATAAATCAATAAGTCAATGGGAAAAGATGGGTGTGGGCCTTGATATTCTTAATCTCCTTCCTCTAGTGGGACTGAATTGGGGTTGTCATCCTGATTTCTTTTTCAAAAAAGCTAGCAAGTGAGGCGGGACTCAAGGTCCAGGAACAGTACCAAACTCCTAGGCTGGAGTCGCGCAGGGCCTTCTGAGGTCCCTGCAGATAGGAGGCCTTAGTGGAGGTCCAGCTCCCTTTTCTAGGATGATAACTATGGACCCTTCCTGAAACACCAAGGAGGGCCTACTCTTTCTGCAAATTGCAATCTCTGGTTTCTGAGGGGTGAGACTGTGTGTATGTGTGTATGTGTGTGTATGTGTGTGTATGTGTGTGTGTGAGTGTGTGTGGACATGGCCTTCTGCTTCATTTCCAGGGGTTGTTTCCCTAGAAGAAATTCCTAGGGAATCTTGAGACTGTGCTGGAGGTTGTCATACTGCCAAAGTCAGTAAGAGTGTCTCAAGGCTATAATTAATATGTTTTCTGCACATTATTTTGTCAAGATTACTTTTGCCAAATAATGTGTAAAAAAAAGTTGTTTATCCTTTACATTATTTTAATTAGGTCATCAAACAAACCTTTTATTTTCTTCAAATTTATTTTCAAGACACTTATTTAATTTTTGTTTTCTTCTTTGTTCAAATTGTTACCTGATTTAGAGCCAAATATTTAAAGAATGTGATACACAAATACTAAAAAGTGACAACAATTTATTTGAGATGTAATTAAATTTCTTAAATTAGTAAATAATTTCAATAAACTTAGTTTATGTTACTTATATAAATTATTTTTCATCTTATCCTTAATCTTAAAAAAATTTAGCTAGGTACACAATTCAAAATTGAGGGATGATTTAAATAGGCAACTTAAAAATATTTTATTAGACATGTTGAGTAGTTTAATTCTCAAATATTTTTTCTTAGAAACCAATATACTTGACAATTGATATTGATAGTATCTACATAAGTGGCATTATAAACATGCTTTTATAGTTTCCAAAATTTTAGAAGAAAAAAATCTATTCTTGTCTTCATCAGTAAAACTTTAAGATTACAGCAATGAGATTATGTTGACCGGCTAAATTACCCACAAAAAACTGAAACAGATTAATTTACTTACTCTGTATCTTTCAGTATCTGATAATGAACAGATTTTAAGAGGCTCAGAATCTGCTTCAGTATAGAAATAAAGCCAAACAACTCTTCTGAAAGAATTATTAAAAATTTACAGAAAAAATTGATTATTTATAATATTTAAAAAATTGCCCAATTCATAGTTCAAAAAATACCATTCTTACTGTGTTTTACTACTGGCAGAAGGTGTGTTTTCTTAATGACCTGACACAACATAACCACTCTTTGTATATTATTTAATTGCCCAAAATCTACCCAGAACTGAAGGCTAATTCTGCCAGTTCCTAAAAAGACAGTTTTCAGACACAAAACCATTTTCATTTAGGCTTGTTGCCTACATTGACCTTCCAGTAATGTCTGCCAGAACTACACTTCTAAGA
This sequence comes from Homo sapiens, assembly GCF_000001405.40. Classification (NCBI taxonomy): domain Eukaryota; kingdom Metazoa; phylum Chordata; class Mammalia; order Primates; family Hominidae; genus Homo; species Homo sapiens. The sequence continues at coordinate 7,905,924 of NC_000024.10, forward strand.
GCCCAGGAGAGTAGGGCAGAAATAAAGACTCCTTGGGTTATAACAAATATTTGGTTTTGTTCTTCCATATCACACAGTATTTCTATCCTCAGAGACAATAAGTTGAGGATGTGCTGTGTCAAGATCTACAATCAAGGCAAGGTGTAGTGGCTCATGTCTGTAATCTTAGCACTTTAGGGTGCCAAGGTGGGCAGATCACAAGGTTAGGAGATCAAGACCATCTTGCCTAAAACGGTGAAACCTCATCTCTACTAACTGGCCATCAGAGAAATGCAAATCAAAACCACAATGAGATACCATCTCACACCAGTTAGAATGGCAATCATTAAAAAGTCAGGAAACAACAGGTGCTGGAGAGGATGTGGAGAAATAAGAACACTTTTACACTGTTAGTGGGACTGTAAACTAGTTCACCCATTGTGGAAGTCAGTGTGGCGATTCCTCAGGGATCTAGAACTAGAAATCCCATTTGACCCAGCCATCCCATTACTGGGTGTATACACAAAGGACTATAAATCATGCTGCTATAAGGACACATGCACACGTATGTTTATTGTGGCACTATTCACAATAGCAAGGACTTGGGACCAACCCAAATATCCAACAATGATAGGCTGGATTAAGAAAATGTGGCACATATACACCATGGAATACTATGCAGCCATAAAAAATGATGAGTTCATGTCCTTTGTAGGGACATGGATGAAACTGGAAATCATAATTCTCAGTAAACTATCACAAGGACAGAAAACCAAACAACACATGTTCTCACTCATAGGTGGGAATTGAACAATGAGAACACGTGGATACAGGAAGGGGAACATCACACTCTGGGGACTGTTGTGGGGTGGGGGGAGGGGGGAGGGATAGCATTAGGAGGTATACCTAATGCTAAATGATGAGTTAATGGGTGCATCACACCAGCATGGCACATGTATACATATGTAACTAACCTGCACATTGTGCACATGTACCCTAAAGTATAATAATAACAATAAAAAAAAATACAAAGAATTAGCTGGGCTTGGTGGAGGGTGCCCGTATTCTCAACTACTTAGTATGCTGAGGCAGGAGAATCAAACCTCGGAGACAGAGGTTGCAGATTGTACCATTGCACTACAGCCTGGGTGACAGATGGAGACTCCATCTCAAAGGAAAAAAAAAACAACAACCTAGAGTTAAATGTAAAAAAATGGAGTGATAATTCTGTCTAAGCCAGAATATAGAGGGGGAAGACTAATACCATGTTTTGTTAATCTAAATGAAAAGACTACAGGACATTTTAGGTTTCAATATCTGTTCTGAATACCCTTAACATGTGTCAGCCATTCCATAGGCTTACCATCTGCCCTCCTTAGTAAATGTTCAAATGTAGAAACATAAATGTTCAAATGTAGAAACATAAACCAAAAAAAATACAAGTTTTTTATTCAATTATGCACTCTTCCTGTGAACAATTAATGTCATTTCTTTACTACAGCTATTGTTAATTTTTCACCTGAGACAACAGGCTAATTTCAGAAAGAATATTTATTTCTAATTATGTAGCTTCTATTACATAGCTAATTTTGTTTTTTTTTACTTCATGTATATGCCAAAAAGACTGTATGACTTATAAAACATTCAACTATTCACTTGAATGAATTGGTCCTTTACATTTAATAAACTCATTTATATAAATTTTATAAAATAAAATGAATTATAACTAACCAAAAAATGGATTAATAGGATTTTTAATTGAAACAACTTATAAAATGTACTAAATAAATAACATACAGTAATACACTGTGAAATTACTCATATATGAAAATTATTTTGTGAACACCATTAAATTTTATCAAAGCTATTTTCATAATCTGCGAGGAAATTATACAAATAATGTTTTATAAAATTAAACAAACACCAAATTGTGTATTATATTTATGGGTAACAACATGCAAACTGATATAAAAAAAGAATTTGCACAAGATGTTTCTAAGCCAGCAGCAATGACATTTTAGATAAATAAATTTAATACAAAGCAGAGAAAATAAATTTGCTTTCAAAATCTTTGAAGATTTTGGTTTGCTGATAATTTAGTGCTCGTAAAATTGTTTCATTATAATATTTTTCTTGTAAAATTAGGTACACGATCATAAAAAATATGATTATTCTTTATAAATCTGTTACACCTAAAGTTCATTTTACAGTGATAGATTTGTATATTTAAATCCATGTAAACCAAAACTGAAGATGTGTATATGTTTAGCAGACCAGAGAAGTTGTATTTCCAAAAAAAAGTGGGATAAAATTTTGTAAATAGTTGTTCAGAATCCCAAAACATATATTTCCATTATATTCATAATCTTCATTGCAACCATCATAATAATCTGTAGTTACAAGAAAAACAAAAATGTAAGTGGTAGAAACCATATTCTCCACATTATTTTCAGTTAAAGACCACAACAAAGTAATCACTAGAGATGTTATTCCACTGTCACCCAATAGTACATTGTTACCATCTGTTACCTACAACCTTGTGTAAAATGGGATAAGTTAACATCAGTGGCAAGATACACATTCAATGTTAAATAGCCTTAATACAATAATAACAATTTTGATTTATTACAACAAATTAAGTTCACACTTGTCATTAAAAAGGACTTTTTAAATTAACTGTATTTTAATTACCTTAATTTGCAAATGGTAAAGCAATTTCCTTCTAAAATTCGTATTGTTTCTCTTACTGTGTATAATATTAACGTGATCACTTAACAGACTCCTGTCATCCTGACACTTATAATACTGCTGCAAACCAACCACTAAGTGACATTTCTACTTAGATTTTCTTCATGTATCTTAGATTTCACTTTCCTTAATCTTCCATAGAAAAGAATGTAAATTTATCTATATAATATAGAAAACCTCTCATAACTCTGGTACAGCAATCATTGAACATGTTCTTTCATGTAAATTCTATAAATGAAGAGATCATCAAATGTATGAGTTAAATTACATCAATAATTGCTTTAAAAATTACATTATATTTTTTATTTTTGTTTGAGACATAATCTCACTCTGTCACCAGGCTGGAGTGCAGAGGTGCGATCTCAGCTAACTGCAACCTTCACCTCCTGGGTTCAAGGGATCTTTCTGCGTCAGCCTCATATGTAGCTGAGACTACAGGCACCCACCACTATGGCCAGCTAATTTTATTGCATTTTTAGTACAGATGGAGTTTCACCACATTGGACAAGATGGTCTGGATTTCTTGACCTCCTGATCTGTCCTGGGCATTCCAAACTGCTGGGATTACAGGAGTGAGCCACGGCCAGACCTAATTTCTTTTAAAATAGTTAATTAGGTTTCTTTTAGAGAAAAGTAATCAAGATTGCCAACTAGAAACTTCTAGACCCTGTTGTTCTCACAGAGAGAAATGCGAAATGTTCAGAAATACAGCACATTCAACTGAAACATCCAGGTACTTACGTTGGGATCAATCAAAGAAACAATTTATCTAATGGAAAATGGAACAAAACAAGGCAAGAAAATGGGCCACCCAGGAAAAACATGAAGCCAAGGGAAATTCCCCACCCAGTAAATCAGTAATTGCTTATGTGGCCCTAACAACCTGTGATTCTCTCACAGATCTTTGCAGCCCTCAGGTAACGAGATACCCTCATGAACCCACTTCATCATAGCCTTCCATTTAACACACAGAGTTACATAAAGTCTCAGAAGATCAGCCACTCAGGCTAGTGCAGAGATTCAAGAGTCTTAGATAATCTGTCTTTCAAGCCTTCCCAGAAAAATTAGCTGCAACTCCAGCAAAGCAGGAGGTTAAATGCTTTTCCATACCCACAGGAAAGAGGCAGAATCCATGGTGCTGAGCAGTGATGGTCTGTAGAACTCACTTCCACAATTCCTCACAGGGTAAGACCTACTGGCTTAGAATTCCAGCCAACCATTGAAACAGAATTTCACCTTCTTGTGATAGAGCTACACCAGAAAGAAAATTGGGCCGCCATCTTTGTTGCTTGTGCAAGTTAGCCATTTCAGCCTTCAGGCTGAGAAGAGCCCAAGCCAACTGGGAACAGAAAGAATCTCCTACCATGGTACAGGTGCTCTAAAAAGACATGGTCAGACTGCCTGTTAAAGCAGGTCTGCAATCTCATTCCTCCTCACTGGAAAGTGCTTTCCAACCAGCGTGTCCAGCTACCGCCACTTGTGCTATTTTGTAGATGGAATTTTGAAACATATTTGGGATGTAGTTCCTGGAGGGAAGAGTGAGCTGCCACATTTGCTGTTTGTGTGACTTAGCTGTTCCAGCCATCTGGCTTTTGAGAATCCAAATAAACTGAGTGTAAAAGTGGTACCTCTGTCCAGCAAAGCTGTCCTACAAAAATGTGGCTAAACTGCTTTTTAAGTGGGTCCCCAATCACATTATCCTCACTGCCTAAACCTTTCAACAGAGGTTTTTAGCTACCTCCTATATGTGCTTTTGTCCTGGAAACAGGTCTATACCTCCCTGGGATAGAGTGCCCAGAGAAAAGGGCATGCTGCCATTGTTGCTGCTTTGCAGCATTTACTGTTGATAACTTCAGGTACTGGAAAATCTGAGGTGACTAGAAACTGTAGTGGACACTCAGCATCCTGCAGCAGCCCTTCAGAAAGTAGTCAGACTGTTACATAAGCAGCTGTTCTCATGTATTCTCACTGGGAAGATTCTCCAGGACTGGGCCACTAATGAATCATTGCCAGAGCTATTGAACCAGTAGAAAATTAGCAATTCCCTGGACAGGGGCTCCAGCACCAACTGAATATATTTCTGCCACTGCTTCTGCAGTAGATCTGTCCTTGCTTCCCTCAGGTTAATGAAAAATCCAAAAATCTAAGTGCTTTATTCACAATTTAAACAAGCTGCAGTTTACCCAAGGAGAGGAGGCCAGTCCATCCTCCATGGGTTCCACACACTACTCACAGCTGCTCACCAGAAGTGAACCTCTAACTTGGCCAAAAGCACAGATCCTCCATCCTGGGCTGACTGCACTGAGGGATTGCTGACCTACATCCCTCGGAGATTCAGCCCCCAGAAGAGAAGCAAAGAAGTGGGGCAGCAAGCCAGCTTATGTGGTGTCCAGTGGGTTTGGCACAAGAGCATCTGTATTAAAGTGTGGCCAGTGGTGGCCATTTCTCTAGGCTAAACTTTCTCTCATAAAAGGCTTTAGCCCTAGAGAACCTGTTGGACCTAACTTCTGCAGGATGTTTTTACAAATGAGAAGAAACTGCTCCAAGTGAGAACTTTTAAGTCTGCTCAGCTCTCCCAGGATCCCAGTCTGGCTGCAGCTGCTTACAGTGTAGTCTCAGCTCCCCTAGAAGAGTAGTTTACCATACCATAGCATCTGCATTGGTGGGCCATGCCTCAGCCCTATGTGCTCCAGCAAGGCAGCCCCTATGACTGCACCAGCCCACATTTATACTCCCCATATGCAGCTTCTCCAGAGACCATAGCAACTCCTGATATTACTTTGGTGGCACATGTCTGCAAAGGTGGGTTTCGCTTTCCTTGCCCCACCAGCAAATGAGAATGCAGTATGCCCCTGCCATCCACAGCAGCTGCCATTATAGATGAAGTTTGGTGGGCAGAAAGCCACAACTCTGCCTTTGTGCTAACACTGTGAAGAGAAATGTGTATTCTCCCACACTCTGAACCATCACTGTGTTATTGGTGGGGCACAAAGAAGGCATCACAACATTTGTTGGCCAGCATGCTGCCCCAAGCTAACATCACCATTAGTGCAACAGCACACACAGTCTCCAGAAGGTAACTTCCAGTTCCCCTTCCAGCTTCTTTGCTCCTGCCAGTAAGGTAAATGCCCAAAGACAGGCAGAAAACCCATATCCACTAGCACTTTGCTGCAGCTGTGGCAGGTTAGTCATACAGAGTAATGGACTCCAAATATCAAGGAGCCACAGAAGACAGTTGGAAAAAAATACAACTGCCCAAGAGCATGCAGCCTCTGAGTTGTGAGCTGAGCATTGCCAAACACACCACCAAAAAACAAACAAACAAAAATATTCCAGGAACAAAGGCTGTTGGCTTAATCCACCTTATACCACAGTCAAATATTACAGACAATTGAATAGGATCAAAAAAAGAATACTCCATTCAAAGATCAGCAACCTCAAAGTTATGCCCACAAAGATTAGGCAAAAATCACTGCAAAAATGTTGAAAACAAAAAAAGCCACAGTGACTTCTTTTATGCAAATGACCAAAATTACATAATTTGGTCAAGATGACAGAAGGCCAAAGATGACAGAAGGAGAATTCAGAATTTGGATAGAAATAAACTTTATTGAGCTACAAATGTAAGTTGTAACACAATGCAATGAAGGGAAAAAATTGCAGGAACTGCTAGAAAAAGCAGCCAATCAGGAGGAAGATGTGGTCAACTGGATAGAGCTAAAACACAAAATACAAAAACTTTATAATGTAATCACAAGTATTAACAGAAAAATGGGCCATGTAGTGAAAAGAATCTCAAAGCTTCAAGACTGGCTTTCTGAGATAAAACAGAGAAAAATAGTGAGAGAAAATAAAGATGAATGAACAAAGTCTCTAAGAAATGCAAGATTATGTAATGAAACCAAATCTATGATTAAAAAGAGTGCCTGAAAGTGAGGGGGAGAATGAAAACAACTGGAAATACATATTTCCAGATATTATCCAACAACAAATCTTTCAGCTGAAATCCTACAAATCAAAAGAGACTTGGGGCCAATATTCAACATTCTTAAAAAAAAAAAGAATTCCAAACCAGAATTTTATATCTTACCAAAGTAAGCTTCAAAATAAATAATAAATATAATCGTATTTGGATAAACAACAGCTGAGGAAATCTATTACCACAAGACCTGTCCTACAAGAGCTTCCGAAAAAAGCATTAAATAAGAGACTATTAGCAGTCACTACAAAAAAAAATACACTAAAGTACATAAATAGCTAGCACTTTAAAGCAACTACATAAATGTGCAAAATAACCAGTTAAGATCATAGTGACAGAATCAAATCCACACTCATAAATAGTAATGCTAAATGTAAATGGGCTAAATGCCCCAATTGAAAAACAGTTGAATGCAGGTTTAATATTTAATGGTATGTTGTAATCTAGACACCCATCTAAAATAAGTTCAAAATACAGGGAAAAAGAACATTCTACCAAGCAAATAGAAAGCAGAAAAAAAGCAGGGGTTACAATTATAGTTTCTTGTACAACAGGCTTTTAGTTAACATGGATTAAAAAAAGACAAAAAAGAATATTCCATAAGAGTAAAGTGCTATATATACATCCAATGCAAAAGCATCCAGATTATAAAGCAAGTTCTCAGATACCCTCCAAGATGTCAAATTAAATGGTCTTAAACAGTCATTACCTTTATATTGCATTTGTTCAGTGTTAAATCTCTGTTGCTGAACACAATGTGCGGACTTGTTAAAGGTCCACTTTTTTTTTTTAACACTTATGGACCTTCTCTCTACTATGAATTATCTTATGTCCAATGAGCTGTGAAAACAAGCTCAATGTTTTGTCACATTTTTCACATTTGTAGGGTTTCCCTACAGTTTGAATTTTCTTATGATTAGTAAGGTCTGAGAAGTACTTAAAGGCTTTACCACATTCTTCACATTTGTAGGGTTTACCTCCAGTATGATTTCTCTTGTGTTTAAATAAGGGTTGAGGAGCATGTAAATGTTTGCCACGTTCTTTATATTTGTAGGGTTTTGTTCCAGTATGGACTCTTTTATGTTCAGTAAGGCTTGAAAACTTTTTAAAAGCTTTGTCACATTCTTTACATTTGTAGGATTATTTGCAATATGAATTATCTTTTTTATAGTAAAATCTGAGAACAACCTACAGTCTTTGCCACATTCTTCACATTTGTAGCATTTCTCTCCACTAAATTTTTTTTATGCTCACTGAAGTTTGAGCACAACTCTAAAGCTTTGCCACATTTATTACACTGACAAGTTTTGCTCTGGGTAGTTGATAAACATTGATGAAATCCATTAAACTGCTCTTCTGCCCTTTGCAATTACCCACACTTTGGTAGTCTTTCTTTAAATGAAAATCAGTAAAGTCACAGCTTTCATATTTTATCAGAATCACTTTTTGGAATGAATCTTTTCTTTTGTGGTCTGTCAATATCTCTGCAGTTAAATGAAAAGAGCCAACTGAAGACAAAAGAAAAAAATTTCTCCCTCATTAGACTCAGGTGAGTACATTTTACAAACATGTAATTATACAAACCACATTAACAAAGTGACAATAGAATACCATAGTCCCTAATTCCTTTACAGACATATAAATTTAACAGTAATATACTTACCAAAATGCCTTTGTGAGAAGTCTAAGAATCAGTTAAGCATTTGCAGCACCCCAAGTGAGTAAAATGCCAAGAAACATATAGAAGTGTAACAAAACTATTTCATATTTACACACCACGGACATTTTTTATCCTATGAAAAATGTAGAGACTGATAACTCCTATCTTACCCTCCAAAAATAAATAAACTGGTGGCACTTATGTCCATGCTTCTGGCTTTCTGAGACCTTATCAAAGACTAATTTGTATATTCACAACAGTGTTTAAAGGAAAGGTGGTAAACTTTGACAGTTTTGGGCAGTTGTGACTAAAGACAAAAGACCATCAAAAGAAAAAATCTTCAGTGTCATAGACAGACAATGGGCATCCAGCTGACTGCAGGATCTCAATGAGAAATATGGGGAATTACTGGGAGCGTTGATTCACACCTGTAATTCCAGCACTTTGGAGGCTGAGGAGGGTGGATCAACTGAGGTCAAAAGTTCAAGACCAGCTAGGTCAACATGGTGAAACCCTGTCTCTACTGAAAATACAAAAGTTAGCCACAGCAGAAACCAGTAATCCAAGCTCTTAAGTAGGCAGAGGCAGGAGAATTGCTTGAATCTGGGATGTGGAGGTTGCAGTCAGCCAAGTTTATGCCATTGCACTCCAGCCTGGGCAACAACAGTGAAACTCCAACTCAAAAATAAAAAATAAAAATAAAGGAAAGAAGAAAACAAGAAAAAAACATGAGGAAATCTTTTTAACAAACAAACAACAAAAAACAGAGAAAGCATCCAAAGAACAGGCTTGAGAGACTCCAAGAACCTCTAGCCTAATAAATTGGTATCATATTCCCCCAGACAAAGCCACTTAATGGAGATTTTGAAATGTTGTTTTTTATTATACGAATTGCAACCTAAGATAACAACATATACAAAACATCAAGATAATATGGCTCAAAGATAAACATGAATATCCAGAAATCAACTATAAGAAAATAGAGATGTAAAAATTACCAGAGGCAATTTGGATTAAATTCTAGGTTTATTTTTAAAAAGAAATAAATAAATTATGCTAAAATTTAAAATCGCCATCTCAATGATGTTAATCAGTAAAATGGAAATAAAGAAAAAAATAAAAAAAGAAAAGAAACCAACAAAAAGATTAAAATCCCAAAATAAATAAAAATTGTGGAGTAGAAGTACAAAAACAGGCTAATATGAACTTCAACATTAGTAAAAAAATTTAAGAAAATCAAGAAGCTCAGCTAATTTTAACTAAGGTTAACAGAAAGATATTTCTAATGGACAAAATATAAGCAAAGTTGTGAAAGTCACAGACAAGAAGATAATCTGGAATTCAGGAAGAAAAAATAGATGTGTATGTATGCTTCTGCAAGATTACTACAAATTTATGAACGTCAATCTTTTGGGCATGAAGGGTATAAGACGATGTAGTTAAAACACTGAAAAAAAAAAAAGCCTAAGCAGGAATACTATAGCCTCCAAAAGTAGCCATCCAATGAAAAAACAAATCTGACTATACCATAATCTGTATCAAGAACTAACTATTTAGAACAGGTAACTATTTATTAAGTTGAAAGCTATTATATTTTCTATAATTATTTTAAGTCAAAATTCACAATAGACAAAGTAAGACATTCAAATATAGTAAGAGGTTTAATTCACTGAATACCTATAAAGACAGTTCTTCCAAACACATAAACCAACATTGACAGAATTGAATGAAAAATAGGCAGCAATATAATAATGGATGTATACATCAATATCTTACTTTCAGTAATAAATAAAGCAAGACAGAATATCAATAAGGGAACAAAAAACTGGAATGCACTATACAATAATTACACCTAACAAATGTATGCAGACAACAGAATAGACATTCTTTTCAATAGCTCATAAAACATTTTCCTAGATGGATGATCTGTGACACCAGAGATGAAGCCTTAATAATTTTTAGTAGAAATTTTACAGAAAATTATTTATAGCCCAGGTTGAATGAAACTAGAATTCAATAACAAAAGAAGAGCAGAAAAACCCCAAAAATATAAAAAATAAGCAACAGTTTGTTTATTTTTTATTTATTTATTTATTTATTATTTATTTATCTTTTGATGGAGTATCACTCTGAAGCTAGGCTAGAGTCCAGTGGCACAATCTCAGCTCCACTGCAATCTTCACCTTTTGTGTTCAAGTGATTCTCCTGATTCAGCCTCCAGAGTAGCTGTGACTACAGGAATGCAACAACAAGCCCAGAACTTTTTTTTTATTTTAGTAGAGATGGGGTTTCATTATGTTGTCCAGGACCACCTGTATCTCCTGATCTTTCTATGCATGCTACTCAGCCTCCAAAAGTGCTGGGTTTACAGGCATGAGCCACTGCACACAGCCAACAGCACACTTTTAAGCATGCTGTTTTTCTAGGGTTGGAAGATAAAATATTGTGAAGATGTCCATGCTACTCAAAGTGACACAAACCCACAACACACCCTTTTTCAATTTTTAATTTTACTTTTCCAAAATAGAAAAAACCCACAAAATTACATAAGATTCCAAGAAACCATGAAAAGTCCAACAATCTTAAAAAAAAAGAAAAAGAAAAATATTGGAAGCATTACATATAACAATTTCCAAACACTAAGCAAACCTACAGTAACAAAGGACTTTGCTACCAGTATAAAGGTAGAACACCAAAGTAATGAAATAAAATGCAGCACAGATATAAACTCTTGAATAGACAGGAGAGACATCATACCACCTAGGTTTTTCATTCAGCCATATGTCACAATTCCTTCAATAAGCAAGACCCAGGCAGGAGATCAGAGTTACATTACGTAGATGCTAGTTTCAGTGATATTTCAAAATGTCCTCTGGGTGAAGGACACAGGCTGCAGAGACATATCACCTACCTGAAAGGCCCAGAAATATGTAATAGTACCCCCTATTGACAGGGCCCAGGCAAAAGAGTCATGTTATTATGATTCTGACCCATCAATATGTAACAATGAACCCATGGGAAGGAATATGAGCCAAAAAGTCTCAACACCTGGGTACTAGGATGAGTCATATGATCCGATCTCCACATCTTTGAGTGTGACAGCTTTAACTTTTACCTGAGAAAGTATATTACAGTCACAGTCTTATATGTGTTGCAGGACAATATATAACACTGTCTACAGGAGATGAGGGTTTTATAAACCTGTATGAGAGTTGCAAAGTTCTCTGAGGTCTACATGCTCCTATGGACTCACAATCTTACATATTGCTCCAAACTCAGGTCTAATAGTCAACATCTTTCCTATAGGCAGGGTTAAGAAAAAAATCCATTATTATGCCAATGAGCTGGATCCACAAATGAGTTACCATCCCAATTCTTGTCGGATTAACATATAAAAGTCAAACCTCCAACTTTGTGCTGTATTCCTTTGTTAGACTCAGGACCTCAACATTGGGCATTATAAATATTGGATGGTGACAATTTTAATTTCACCTAGGTATGTAAACATGAGTCTCAATCTGAACTTTTTGCTGGGCCCTGTTAGGAAACACTCTACCACCAAGGAGTTTGAAAAATATAAGTCAGTGTTGTAAGCTTCTGTAACATTGGTAGAAATATGTAACAGAGGACCTTACCTATTGCTCTAAACCTAATGATGTGAGATAAGATATCTCCTATTGGCTGAATCCCAACATAAATTTGATCATCTATGCCTGTCAACTAAAGCAAGGTGTATGTATTAATCCCATATGTGGGCAAATAACTAGGCAGGAGGGAAATATCTCTTATATGCTGTGCCAGCCAATATGTCAAAATACCTTTTCTAGGCAGGGTATAGGATATAAGGTCACATTAACTGGGTGCTGGACCCAGTAATATGACCCTATTCCACATGTGGAAAATACCCAGCCAAGTTATGAGAGCCAAAACATCGACATAATGGGCTGAAGCTATGTCAAAATACCTTCAGTGGCTCCAACACAGGCCGAAAAGTCATATCATAAGGATGCTGGTCTTAGCAATATGCAATATGCCATAATTTCTTCTTTATGGAAAACACAGGCAGGAGAGTAACATCATCAGGATGTTGGTCCGTGCAATTGGTCAAAATTCCTTTTTTGTGGGCATGTTCAGAAACAAGAGGAGAGTTACATATTCTGAGTGCTGGGATCAGCTATGTGCCAAAATCTTCTTATTGTGAAGGCCCAGTCAAAAAATAGAGTCATATCTTCATACTATGGGCTCAGAAATATGTCCAAATGTTTCCATTAGGTAGGTCTCATTGAGATGAGGAAAGTCATATCCTAGGTGCTTCCCTTCATATATGAACAAAGTAACATGTTTGCAGAAATCATGAAGAAGAACCACATCACTTGGGTGCTGGGTCCTGAGATATGTCACAAGGCCTTCTTAGAATATCATCAAGCACAGAGGGTAACATAAACTATGTGCAGATTCTCTGTTTATTCCACAATGTTCCATGAGTGTAGGTCCCAGAGAGGGAGTCATTTCAGTCAGGTGACAGCCCAAGAGACATGTTACAATGTCCTCTGTGAAGCATAGACCTGGCTAAAGAGTACCCTCACCTGTATGCCTGGCCTAGAAATATGTCACTCTTAAGGTTGGCAGGGCCCAAGCAGGAGAACCACATAACCTAGGTGATGGGCCCAGATATATGTCATAATGTCCTGCTTTCAGGTTGGCTCTGGCAAAAGAGTATCCTCACATGCTTGATTGGCCTTGCTATATGCCGCTATCCTTCCTTTGTGCAGGGCCCACTCCAGAGATGAGAGTTACATCACCTATGAGGTGGACACAGAAACATGACACAGTAATTTTGATGGACATGGCACTGGCAAGAATGTAACATCACCAAGCTGCTAGATCCAGTGATATGTCGCAACCCTCACTGAGAGAGCACCCAGGTAGGAGAGTCACATCCCCTCGAGGTTGAACTAGGTAGATATCACAATTTCATATATAAACTCGGACCTTTCTGCAAAGTAAAACTACACAGGTGCTTGGCAAATATGTGTATCAAAATAACACTGTCAGAAAATGTCAAAGGGGAGATTTACAATACCGCTCATGTTCTGTTTTATATGTGACAGTTGGCTTCATCCATGTGAAATGATGACTGTTCTGTCAGCTGGGTTTTCATACAAGACTCACAATTTTGCCTGTGTGCTGAGTGCTACGTTAGCTCTGCTTATATAACCCAAATACTTTTTAAAGTATGTGTGAGTGTTGTAATCTTTTGTGACCTTTGTACAAGAAAGTGATCCATGACATCACACATGTCACTACACCTAGTTATAAGAGCCTAAATATTCTCTATTTGCTGAGTCCACATATAAAAGTCATTATCATTCCTGTGAGCCCTGCCTAGGTATATGTTGCAATTCCATCTTGGTTATAAAGCAGGCAGAACAGCCTCATCACCTAAATTCTGGGCCTAAAATATTTCAATATTCTCTTTGTAGGCAGGGTCTTGTCAGAAATGTCACATAAGTTTTGTGCTAGGGCCAGGTCTGTGGCACAATGACCCTTGTGGGCAGTGTCTGGGCAGAAAAGGAGAGTAATATCACCTAAATGATGGGCTGACATATATGTCAAAATGCTGCCTGTTGACAGAGCCCAGGAAAGAGAGTCATATAATTTGGATGCAGTGTTTAGAAATGTTACAATTATCAAAGGAAGCAGGGTACAGGCAGGAGAGGAATCATGTAACCTAGATGGTGTGTTCAGAAATATGTTACAATGTCCCCTGAAGACATTGTTAAGATAACACAATAAAATCACCAAGTTACTTGGTCAGGTATTTGTCAAAATCTCATTTGTGGGCTATACCTAGGGAGAATTATTAAATCTATCCAGAGCTGGGCAAAGATATGTGTCACAATTTCACTTGTGGAAAGATTTAAGAATTAGAGTCACCATCCTGCACATGTCCTGGCTCTAGGCATATGAGTTGTTCTTAGGCTTTTGTTTTGGTCTCAGTTGTATGGCATAATATCACCTGTGGCCAGAGATAAGGCAAGAAACTCATATAATCTACATGGGTGAGGGTCCAGTGAGATGTTACAATCCACCTGGTGGGCAAAGCCCTTGCAGAAGAGTCACATCACTTGGATGCTGGTTTCAGCGATACGTAAAAACCATTCTCTGAGGTAAGGACTTTGGCATGAGAGGAGACCCACTTCATCTAGGCAATTGGCCTAGATATATGTCACAATGACCATTAACTGCAGGAATAAGGCTAAAGAATGACCTCACCTTGGTGCTGTGCCCAGCAGTATGTCACATGCTCCCTGAGGTCAGGGCACAATGAAAAGTAAAGAAACATCACCTTGGTACTGAGAGAAGTTATAGGTTACAATGCTTCCTATTGGCAACCCCCCAACCAAAAAAAAAATCACATCTCCTGGGTGCACTACCCTGTTATGTGTCACAATGCTCTGTAACTGCAGGGCCAAGACAGTAGAAGGGAGTCACATAATTTATGTGATGGACCTAAATATAACACACAATTCTCTTTGTAGGCAGTTTTCAGGTGGGTAAATCACATCACCTGGGTGATGGTCCCAGTGATATATAAAACTGCACTTTGTAGGCAGAACAAAGTATGATGTTATGTATTGATTTGGGGCTTTTTCCACATATGGCACAATTTCATCTGTGGTTTGGGCCTAGAAAAGTTCATCAAACTACCCATGTCCTGGGCAGAGTTACCTGACCCACTCACACTTTCAGAAAGGTTCAGAAATAATTTTCAGTCCACACAAATCCTAGCTTCAGGTATGAGAATCAACACCTTCTGTGAGTTGGGTCAAAGTACAGGACTCACAATCAACAATGGGAAGGTCAGTGTGTAAGAACTCCAATCCCACTTGAAGATTGTGTTCCAATAAGAGAGACACAACACCACAGTTCTGCTTAATCATGGTTCAAACATCATCAAACACCTGCGGATCAGATTTATATATGAGAGTAACAATTTCAAGCTTTGATGGCCTATGTGAGTGAGATTTAGTATCACATTGGTAGGATCTGTTTATGTGTGAAAAAAAACAATTGTGTCAGCTGGGTGTGCATCCAAGACACCCTGGCTTCTGGTGCCTGTTATGAGACACTTTGGACCACTCAGGCTTTATATGATATGCCTCAGTGGGATACTTTTCTGTGTATTCTTACAGGTTGGTGATATAGGACTTTTCTCATGGCTGTAAGACTAGATATGAGAGTTGAAATACCTTCCCAGGCTGGCAGTAGTTTTGAGAGTTATTATTATGCACATAAGCTGAATCCAGGTATATGTCACAAGCTCACCTTTGGACAGAGACAAGACAGAAGAGTCCTACCATCTGGGCTCTGATCCAGGGATACATTTTAATCTACTTCATAGGCAGGATCCAGTCCAAAGAGTCATGTCACCTGGGTACAGTCTTAAGTAATATGTCATTATGCCCACTGTAAATACAGGGTTGAAAAAGTAGTGGATAATCACATTCTCTTGGGATTGGCCTCAGTAATATGTTATAATTTCCTCTATTGGCAGAGTCCAGGACAAAGAGGAGGGTCACATCACCTAGATTTTACACTCAGTCATATGTCACAATTTATTCAGTGGGCAGGATCCTGCAGGAGAGGAGATTCACATTACCTAGATTCTTCATCTAGCGATATGTCACAGTGTCCTCTTTGGGCAGGGCACTGGCAGGAGAGATACACAACCTAGCTGATAGGCCTAAAGATATGTGATAATATCCCCTGCTGTCAGGGTTCAAGCAAAAGGGTTTCATTATTGTAATTCAAACCCAGGGATATTTTACAATACAACCATTGAAAAGAATTTAAGCCAAAAATTCTCAACACCTGGAGGTACTAGTCCTAGTGACATGGAACAATCTCTTTATGTATTAGGGTGACAACTTTGAATCTTTACTTGGTGAGTATATAAGAGTCACAATCTCATATGTGTTCTGGCTGATCCCATGACACACTCTACAACATACAAAGGCTTTAAGCAACATGCATGAGAGTTGCAATCCATTCTGAGGACTACATGCTCCTATTGACTCACAAAGATATGTATTGCTTTAAACTTGGTTATGATAATCAACATCCCTTTTACAGGTTATGTTCAGACAGGAGACCCATTATTATGCCTGTGATTTGGGTCCAGAAGTAAGTCACCATCTCACCTGTAGCAAGAGCCATATGTGAAATTCACAAATCTATCTTTGTACTTTATTTGCTTGTTAAACTCAGTGCTTCAACAGTGGGCTTTGTGAATGTGGGATGTTGACAACTTTTGCTCTCACCTTCATGTGTAATCAAGAGTCACAATCTTAACTTTTGCTGGGCCCTGTTATAAAACTCTGTGTACCAAGCAAGGAGTTTAGTGTTGTAACATTCTGTGAACTTTCTACAAACTTGCACCTCATAAACTTACCTGTTGTTTTAAGTGTAGCAATGAAAGGCAAAACATATAGTATTGGTGAAATTCCAATTTCAGTTCGATCATGATGCTTCTGAATTGAAGCAATGTAAATTTCATAACACCATTTGTAGAAAACAAAAAACTTTTCAGAAAGGTAGAAAACTGACGTGCTGTGTCAAGAAACATGTCACAATGTCCCCTCCATGCAGGGTCTAGTAATTGGGTTATGATAACTGGGTGCTGGACTCAGTGGAATGACACAACTCTAAACATAGAAAATGTAGGAAAAACAAACACATACAAATGATGAGAACAAAATTATTTACAGAATAGGCGCATGGTATGTAAAAATACTTTCTGCTACTCTGGAACAGGCAGAAGATTTACATCATCAGGGTGGGAGTCCCAGCAATATGCCATAACTCTCTCTTTATGTTGGACCTAGTTAGAGGAGAAACATCATCTGTATGCTGGGCCCAGCAATAAACCAAAGTTCCTTTTCATAGTCATGGTTCAGGAAAAAAGAAGTCATATTACCTAAGTATTAGGCTTAGCAATATGTCACATCACCCCATTCTAAAGCCTCTTGCAGAAGAAAAGGTTCACATAACTTAAGACACAGGCTCAGATACAAGGCATGATGTCCCAAGTAGGTAGTGCTCATGCAGAAGAGAAGAGTCATATCACCTAGGTGCTTCCTAGGTATATGACACAATCTAACATGCGAGGGGAAACCAGGCAGAAGAGTCACTTCATCTTGATGCTGGGTTCTAAGTTATGTCACATGGCTTCCTTAAGACAGCACACAGGCAAGAGAGTTACAAAAAATAAGTATGAAAAATGTCACAATGCTCCATAAGGACAGGACACAAGCAGGGAGCCACATCACCTAGGTGACTGACCCATATATATATGTCACAATGTCCACATTGAGTCATGGCCCTGGTGAAAGAGTACCATCACCTGTGTGCATAGCCTAGCAATATGTCACTATCTTAGTAAGCAGAACCCAAGCAGATTAGCAACATCACCTAGGTGATAGGCCAAGAGATTTGTCACAATGCCCTCTTTAGGACATAGTCCTAGCATATAAGTACTGTCACCTCTGTGCCTGGCCCAGTCATATATCACTATCACTCACTGTGTGCAGTACCCATTCTAATGGGGAGAGTTTTGTTGCCTAAGTGGTTGGCACAGTGGTATGTCCCAATGATTTCTGTATGCATGGCTCAGGCAAAAATGTAACATGACTTGGATACTGGATCTAGTGATATGTAGTGACTCTTACTGAGAGCAGGGCCCAGGCAGGAGCATCATATCACCTAAAGTTTTGCTCACGTAGATATCACAATAGCATATGTGGGCTGGAACAAGTCTGGGAGTAAAATCACACAAGTGTTTGGCAAAGATTTATGTCACAGTCACACTGGCAGAAAATTCTCAGGATGAGATGTACAATACCACACATGTCCTGTTTTTATGATTGACAGTTTGCATCGTATATGTGAGACAGTGACAGTGGTTACTGTCAGGTGGGTGTACATATAAGACTCACAGTTTCACCTTTCTCTTGGGTTCTGTTCTGAAACTCTTTGTATGAGCCAAGTTCTTTACAAAATATGAGGCTGTTGTAACCTTCCTTGTCTTCTTTTTTACCAGAAAGTGATTCAATCCATTGTGTTTCTGAAGCAAGTTATAAGGCTCAAAATTACTCCTATTTATGGGTACCACATATAACGGTCATTATCATGCCTGTAAGTTCTGCCTAGGTATATGTAACAATTTACTCTGTGATGTGTTACAATATTCTCCTTGTAGGCAAAGTCCTGGCAGAAAAGTTGTATCACCTGGGGGTTACACCCATATATATGGCACAATGCCCCTTTTGGCACAGTCTCCAGACAGAAGAAGAGACTCATATCACCTATATGCTAGGCCCAGTGATATGTCAAAATGTCTCATGTTAAAGGGATCAGGCAAGAGAGTCATATCATTTGGATGGCATGCTTAGAAACACTATAATCCCCAGTGGAAGGAGGGTCCAGACAGGAGAGGAGAGTGAGATAACTAGATGGATGATGAGTCCAGTGCCTTCCTGAGGATACTGTTGAGACAGGAGAGTCAAATCGTCAAGGTGCTCAGCTGAGGAATATATCCAAATATCATTTGTGGGCAACATTTAGGCAGGATTATTAAGCCACTCAAGAGATGGGAAATGAAATATGTCACAATAACACTGGTGGAAAGCTCCAGGAATGGAAGTCTCCATCTTGGATATGACCTGGCTTCAGTTTTAAGCATCTTGATTGGTCCTCTCATTTGGTGTCAACTATATGGCACTATGTAATCTATAGGCAGAGAGAAAGCAGAAATGTCACATCACCTGTGAGGGTGCTCGTCCTGTGAGATGTCACTTTTTTTCTTGTGGCCAGGACCCTGGAATAAAAGGTACATCACCTGGATGTTGATTTTAGTGATATATCAAAATTTCTTCTGTGGGCAGGGCTTAAGGTGAGGAGAATCACTTTACCTAGACAATTGGCCTAGATATATGTCACAGTGGCTGCTATGTACAGAACCGAGGTATGAAAGTGACCTCACCTTGGTGCTGGGTTTATCAATATGTCACAATCTCCCCTGTGGTCAGAGCAAGGCAAGAAGGTAGAAACATCACCTAGGTGCTGAGCCAAGTGATATGTTACAAAGCTTTCTGTTTGTAGAACACAAAATTTAGTGTCATATTACCTGGGTGTAATATCCAGTTATGTGTCACAATTCACATAATTGCAGGCAAAGGCAGTAGAAGTAAGCCACATCACTTATGTGATAGACCTAGATATAAGCCACAGTGCTTTATATAGGCAGGAATCAGGCAAAGAATTCACATTACCTGGGTGCCTGTCCCAGTGATATGTAAAAGTGCCATTTGTAGGCAGGAACATGTACCTTTTCTTAGGTGTTTGGTCCATGTATATAACAATTTCATCTCAGGTTATGGCCTAAGAAGGACAGTCAAATTACTCAGGAGCTGGGCTAACTTTTATGCCCTAATCACACACCAGGAAATATTCAAAAGTAAGTTTCACAGTCCCACACAAGTCCTGGCTTTGTGTACATAAGTAAACACCTCCTGTGAGGTGGGTCAAAACAGAGGAGACACAATCCCAACAATGGGCATAATCCATGTAAAAGATGGCAAAACCAGTTGATGACTGTCAAGTGGAGATGAGTGTCAAGTGGAGATGAGTGTCAAGTGGGAGAGTCACAGCCTCATATGTGCACTGAATTATGCATCCCCAAATCACCTGTAGGTCAGATCAACATATGAGAGGAAAAATTTCATACTTTGACTGCTCTTTTGGTGAGATTTAGTACCTTATTTGGAGGCCATGTTCTTGTGAGGCAATGACAATTGTGTCTGATGAGTGTGAATCCAATAATCCCAATAGCATTGGGTTGCTGTTCACTGTTATAACACTATGTATACCTCTCACACTTTATATGATATGCTGGAGTGTCATAATACTGTGTGAACTTTATACCATTAGGAGACTCATTACTTTACTTATGGCTATAAGACTGGGTAGGAGCATCAAAATATCTCTCCTTTTTGGAGCCAGGTATGATAGTTATATTTGTGCATGGTAGGTGAACACAGGTGTATGTCAAACTTTTACCTGTGGGCAGAAACATGGCAGGAGAGTCTCATCACCTGGAAGGTGAGCTCAGGATACATTATAATCTCCTTTGCAGGCAGGGCCAAGTCAGAAGAGTCACATCACCTGATTACAGCCTCAAGTAATGTGACACCATGTCAAATGTGAACAGGGTTAAAGAAATGGAGGAGAGTCACACAACCTAGATGCTGGGCTCAGCAACATGGAATAATCCCCATTTTGGCAGAATCTAGAATAAAGAGGAGAATTGCATTACCTAGGTTTTGCATTCAGCATCATGTCACAATTCTTTTAGCCGGCAGGACCTAGGCCGCAGAGAAGAGTCACAATTCCTAGATGTTACACCCAGTGATGTCACAATGTTCTTTGGGGAAAAAGCACAAGCAAAATAGACAAATCACCTAGCAGATAGGCTCAGATATATATAATGTCCCTACCTTGCAGGACTAAGGCAAAAGAGTCACATTATTATGACTGTGACCTAACGATATGTCACAATGCACACATGGCAAACAATTAAGTCAGTTTTTACACCTGGGTACTAGGCCCAGTGATATGACAGAATCTCCTCATCTTTTAGATGACACCTTTAACTGTCAGCTTTGCGTGTATATAAGTCACATTGTCACATGTGTGCTGAACCATTACATGACACCCTTTAGAACATCTGAAAGTTTTTTACAACATGCATGAGATTTGCTAACTACTCTGAGGTCTACATGGTCATATCAACTCTGAATCTTGTATATTGCCTTAAACCCAGACATGATAGTCAACATCTCTCATTTATGCTTAGTTCAGGAATGAGACTTATTTTTATGCCTGTGAGATGGGTCTAAAAATGAGTCACTATTGAGCCTGTGGCAAAATCCCCAAATGAGAATCACAATTCCATCTTTGTACTGTTTTCACTTGTTAGAGTCAGCATCTCAAAAATGGGCTTTGTAAATGAGGGATGGTGACAACTTTTATTTGCACCTGCCTGTGTAATTGAGAGTCACAATCTTAAACATTTTGCTGGGCCTTGTGAGGAGAGTCTGTGTACCACCCAAGGAGTTTATACAATATTGATTATTGTTGTATACTTCTGTGAGCTTTGTACAAATATGCAACCCAGGATTTTACCTATTGCCTTAAGCCTTGTGATGAGAGATAAAATATCTTCTATTGGCTGAATCAAATGTAAGTTTTACCATCATACCTGTGAACTGAAGCAAGCTATATTTCATAATCCCATTTCTCGGCAAAAAAGAGTCACATCATGTAGGTGATGTGGCATGTGATGTGGCATGCAGCATGTCACAGTGACTTCTCTAGGCAGAATATAGAAAGGAGGGTCACATTAACGAGGTGTTGGATCCAACAATATGATGAAATTTTACTTGTAAAACAACGTATCCAAGGGAAGAAAGCCACAACACTTACAGAATGGACTGAAAATGTGTCAAAATACTCTTTATGGCTCTGGCACTGAGAGGACAGTAGCATCATTAGGGTGCTGGACCCACCATTATGCAGTAACTCCCTCATTATTCAGGACTCTTGTAGAAGAGTAACATCATCTGACTGCAATAGGTCAAAATTTCCACTTGTGCAAATGGTTTAGAAAAAAGAAAATAGTCACATACCCTAAATCCTGGTCTCAAAAATATGTCACACTCTCAGCATTTTAAAGGCTGAGGCAGGGGAGGAAAGTCATATCACTTAGTTCATCAGCTCAGAGATATGTTCCAATGTCCCAGTAGGCAGAACTCAGGCAGAAGAGGCTTCTTTAGGTATAGTCTCAATCCAACACGTGAGCAGAAACCAGGCAGAAGAGCCACATCATCTGGGAGCTGGGTCCTAAGATATGTCACAAGTCCCCATTAGGACAGAACCAAGGCAAAAGAGTTACATCACCTTGGTGTATGTTTCTCTTTTATGTCACAATGCTCTATGTGCATGAGGCCAAAGCATTCAATCCCATTGACTAGTTGATAGGCCCAAGAGATAGGTTACAAAGTCCTCTGTGAAGCATAGTCCTGGCAAAAGAGTATCATCACCTGTGTGTCTTGCCTAGAAATATGTTACTCTCCAGGTTGTCATCACCCAAGCAGGAGAGCCACCTAACCTAAGTGATAGGCATAGAGATGTGTCACAATGTCCTAGTTTGGGCATGACTCTGGCAAACAATACCCACAGCTGTACGCCTGGCTTTACAATATGTCACTATCCTTCCTTTGTGCAGGATCCGTTCCAGAGATGAGACTTACATCACCTATGAGGTGCACACAAATATATGTCACAATAATTGTGATTGGCATGGCATAAGCAAGAATGCAACATCAATAGTATGCTAGATCCAGTGATATGTACAATACTTACTGAGAGAAGGGCCCAGGCAGGAGAGTCACATCTCCTTAAGGTTAGCCTAGGTAGATATCACAGTCCCATATATGCACTGGAACAAGTCTGGAGAGTCAAATTACACTGGTGTTTGCAAAGATTTATATCAGAACCACACTATCAGAAAATTCCAAAGATGAGTTTACAGTACAACACATGTCCTGTTTTCATGTGTGACAATTGACTTCATCCATGAGAGATGATGGCAGTCCTTACTGTCAGTTGGGTGTGCATACAAGACTCACAATTTCACTTGAGTTGAACCCTGGTTTGACTTTTTCATTATAAACCAAAGACTTTGTAAAATATGTGTGAGTGTTGTAATCTTCTGTGACATTTGTACAAGAAAGTGATTCAGGACATCCCACATGTCTGTAATCTGAGTTACAAGAGTCAAAATATCATCTATTGGCTGAGTCCATATATTAATAAGAGTCATTATTATTCCTGTGAGCCATTCCTAGTTATTTGTTACAATTTCCTCTGTGGTTATGAATCAGGCCAAACAATCACATCACCTAAATGCTGGGCCAGAAATATCCCATTATTATTTTTTCAGGCAGGGTGCTGTCTGAAATATCACATAACTTGTGTGCTAAATCCAGCTCTGTTGCACAGTGTTCATTTTGGGATGTGTCTAGGAAGGAGAGGAGAGTCATATAACCTAAAATCTGGGTTCAAACATACATCAAAATGGCTCCTGTTGAGGAGGTCCAAAACAGAGAGTCATGTCCTTTGAATGTGGTGATTAGAAATGCTACAATTACTAAAGGAAGCAGGGTACAGGTCAAAGAGGAGAGTTATATGCCTTTGATAATGGGTCCAGAAATATGTGACTATTCTGCCTGAGGACAGTTTTAGACAGCACAGTCAAATCACCAAGGTGCTTGATGCAGATATTTGTCAAAATCTCATTCATGGGCTATATCTAGGCAGAATTATTAAGTCACTCAGGAACTGAACTAAAATATATGTCACAATTACACTTGTGGAAAGGTTTAGGAATAAGACTCAACTGTTGGCTTTCTAAATGTAGGATGGCGGCAACTTTTAATTTCACCTGGGCATGTAATCAAGAGTCCCAATTTGAACTTTTTGCTGGCCCCTGCTATGAAAATTTCTACAACAAAAGAGTTTATAAAATATAAGTTAGTTGTGTAAGCTTCTGTGAGCTTGCTACAAATATGCAACCTAGGACCTTTCCTATTCCCCAAGCCTAAGAATGAAAAGCAAAAGATTTTCTATTGGCTGAATCCCAATATGAGTTTCATCATCATGGCTGTGAACTGAAGCAGAGTATATGTTATAATCAAATATGTGGGCAGAACACTATGCAGAAGGGCAATAGCACTTAGATGTTGTGTTAGGCAATATGTCACAATACCTTCTCTATGCAGGGTGTACAAAATTGAATCACATTAACTGGGTGCCGGACCCAGAAATTTCATATGTGGAAAAAACCCAGCCAAGTTATGAGAGTCAAAATGCCTACATAATGGGCCCAATATATGTCAAAATACATTCAGTATTAGCAGCACACGCAGAAACATCACATCTTAATGTTGCTGGGCCCAGCTATATGCAATATGCCGTAATTATCTCTTTATGCAGATCCCATGCAGAAGAGTAACATGATCTGTGTGCTGAGCAACGTTATATGTCAGATTTCTTTTTTGTGGGCATGGTTCAGGAGAAAGTGGAGAGTCACATATCCTGAGTGCTGGGCTCAGCAAAGTGACAAAATCCTCCTATTGTGAAGGCCCAGGAAGAAAAAGAGAGTCGCATTACTTAGGTTCAGAGATACATCTCAATGCCCCCAGTAGGCAGAGCTCAGGTAGATGAGGACAGTAATATCACCTATGTTTTTCCCACAGAATATGTCACAGTTTAACATGTAGACAGAAACCAGGTAGAAGCACTATATCACTTGTGTGCTGTGTCCTGTGATATGTCATAAGTCTCTCTTAACACAACACCTAGGCAAGAGAGATACATCATACTAGGTGCCGGTCACTTGGTTATAACACAATCCTTCATCTGGTTAGGACCCAAGGAGAGAGTTACTACATTTAGGTGATAGGCCCAGAGATATGTCACAGTGTACTGTATGAAGCATAATGCTGGAAAGAGTACCATCACCTGTGTGCCTGGCCTAGAAATATGTCACTTTCAAGGTTGGAAGGACCCTAGCAGAAGAGCCACATAACATAGATGATAGCCCCGGAGATATGCCACATTGCCCTCCACTGGTCATCCACAGGATAAGGAGGAAATTTGCCTGTGTGTCAGTCCTTGCAATATGTCACTATTCTTCTGTTGTGCAGTGTCCATTGCAGAGAGGAGACTCACATCACCTATGAGGTAAACACAGAAATATGTTACAATAATTTTGGTGGTCATGGCCCAAGTAAGGATGTAACATTACCTGGGTGCTATATCCAGTGATATGTCACAATCATTACTGAGAGATAGGACAAGTAAGACAGGAAAGTCATATCACGTAGAGGTTGGCCTAGGTAGATATCATAACCCCATATATAAGAAGGGACAGGTCCAGAGAACCAAATTACACAGGTGCTTAGCAAAAATTTACGTCATCATAACACTGTCAGAAAATTCCAAAGATGAGATTTACAATACCACACATGTCCTGTTTTCATATGTGACAGATCCCTCTGTCTATGTGAGATAAGTTGTCCTTACTTTCAGCTGGGTGTACATACAAGACTCACAATTTCACCTATGTGCTGAGTCCTGCTTTGATTTTGTCTGTATAAACCAAAGAGTTTGTAAAATATGTATGAGTGTTGTAATAATTTTTGACCTTTGTACAAGAAAGAGACAAAGGACACCATGCATGTCCCTAAACTGAGTTCTAAGATTCAAAATATTCTCTATTGACTGAGTCCACATATGACAGTCATTATCATGGCTGTGAACCATGCATAGGTATATGTTACAATTCCCTCTGCGGTTAAGAAGGAGGCCTAACAGCCACATCACATAAATGCTGGGTCAGAATACTCAAATATGCTTTTTGTAGTCAGGGCTGTCTCAGAAATATCACATAACGTGCATGCTATGTCAAGCTCTGTGACACCATACCCCTTGTGGGCAGTGTCCAGGCAGGAGAAGAGAGTAATATCACCTAAAGGATGGGCCCAAAATTATGTCAAAATGCTTCCTATTGACAAGGCCCAGGCAAGAGGGTCATATCATTTGGATGCAGTATTTATAAATACTACAATCACCAACAGAAGCAGGGTACAGTCAGGAGAGGAGAGTCATGTAACCTAGATGAAGCATCCAGAAATATGTTACAATATCCCCTGAGGACATTTTAAGATACATCAGTCAAATCACAAAGGTGCTCAGCCAATCTATCTGTCAAAATCTCATTTGCTATACCTAGGCAGAATTATTAAATCACTCAGGAGTTAGGCAAATGTATATGTCACAATTAGACTTGTGGAAAGACTTAAGACTAAGAGTCACCATCCTGCACAAGTCCTAGGCTCCAGTCTTGTGAGTTGTTATTAGGCTTTTGTTTAGGTCTCTGGTATGTGGCCAGAAAAAACACAAGAAAGTCCCATCGCCTACGTGGGTCCAGGTCCAGTGAGATGTCACAAATTCAACAAGGGGGCAGGAACCTGTTGTAATAGTTACATTGCATGGATTTCAGTGACATATCAAAATTCCCTATCTGGGCAGGACTTTGGCAAGAAGGGAGACTCACTTCACCAAGGCAATTGGCCTAGATATATGTCACAATGTCTATTCTGTGCAGTAACAAAGCTGTAGAGAGGCATCACACAGGTGTTGTGCTCAGGAAATATGTCACAATCTCCTTGTGGCCTGGGCCAAGGCAAAAGCAAAGAAACATCACTTAGGTTCTGAGCCAAGTGATATGTCACAATGCTTCCTGTTGGCAGAACCCAAAAAGAAGAATCACATCCCCTGAATGCAGTACCCGGTTATTTGTCACAATTCCCTGCAACTGCAGGGCAAAGGAAGAAGTGAGTAACATCACTTACATGATGGATCTACGTATGTCACAAAATTCTTTTTGTAGGAAGGTTTCAGGCAGATAACTCACATCACCTGGGTGATGGTCCCAGTGACATATGTAAAATTTCCCTTTGAAGGCAGAGCCACGATGGATGTTATCTATTGCTTAGCTGCTTGTTCCACATATGGCACAATTACTTCTGTGATCTGGGCCTAGAAAAGGAGTCAAATTATTCATTTACTGGGCAAAGTCACCTGTCCCAATCACACTCTCATATATGTTCGGAAATAAGTTTCATATCCCACATAAGTCCTGGTTTTGTGTATGTGAGTTAATTCTTTCTATAAGTTGGGTCAAAATAGAGGATTCAAAATCTCAACAGTGGGCAAGATCCATGTATAAGAGCTGTAATCCCACTTGAACATTGTGGTCCAGGAGGGGAGTTACAGCACCACAGACATGCTGAATCCTGGTTCAAATGTTAATGAACCACCTGCGGATCAGGTCCATATGTGTGAGTAATTATTTCAAACATCAACAGCTTTTTATGTGTGAGATTTAGTATTTCATTCCTAGGCCCTGTTAATGTGTGACAATGAAAATCATGTCAGCTAGGTGGGCATTCAAGAGTCACATTCTCACCTGGTTGGTGGCCTCTGTTATGACACTGTTTGCACCATTAAGGCTTTATATGATCTACCTGAGTATTATAATCCTTCATGACTTTTATACAAGTGAAAAACACAGGGCTAAACCCATCGCTATGAGAGTCAAAATATCTCTACTGGCTGGCTCCAGTTATGAGAGTTATTTTTGTGCATGTGCTCTTAACCTAGTTATATGTCACAATTTCACCTGTAAGAACAGACAAGGCAAAAGAGTCAACTCACCTCGATGCTGAACCAGTGATACAGCATAACCTCATTTGCATACTGGGTCTAGTCAGAGGAGTCACTTCACCTAGGTATAGCCTCAAATAGTTTGTCAGCAAGCCTACTATACACAGGGAAGAAATAAATGAGGACAGTCACTCCACCTAGGTGCTGGACTTTGCAATATATAACAAACCTCTCTCAGAAGAGTTTAGAATGTGGAGGAGAGCCATATAATGTCAGTTTTTCAATCAGTGGTATATCACAATTTATTTTCTGAGCAAGACCCAGGCAGGAGAGGAGAGTTGCATTACCTAGATGTTAAGTGAAATGATATCTCAAAATGTCTTCTGGGGGATGGACACTGACAGAAAAGAAAAATCAGAAAAGAAAAATCATCTTGCTTATAGACCCCAAGATGTGTGATAATATCCCCTCTTGGCAGGATCAAGACAGAACAGTCACAGTATGATTCTAACATAGTGATATGTCACAATGCACCCAAAGAAATGAATTTAGGCCAAATAGTCTCAACACCTAAGTACTAGACCTATTCATACACCAATTCCCCTTGTCTTTGAGGGTGACCCTATAAACTCTGAGCTAGTGTACATATGGGAGTAACAATCTTGCATGTTTCCTGGGCCATTGTATGAAACTCTACAATATTCAAAAGCATTATACATCATGCATGAGAGTTTCAAACCACTCTAAGGCCTACATGTTCATATGTACTCATGATCTTGCATATTGCCCTAAACCCAGGTATAACAGTCATCATCTCTTCTCTAGGCTGGGTTAGAAGTGAGACCCATTTTTATGCCTGTGAGCTGGATCTAGAAATAAGTCACAATTCCACCTGTGGATAGATCCATATACGAAGGTCATACTTCCAACTTTGTACTACATTCATTTGTAAAACTCAGGTTCTTAACAGTGACCTTTGGACATAAAGAATGATGACAACACTTGCTTTTACCTGGGTATGTAATCAAGAGTCTCAAACTGAAATTTTTTTTGGTCCCTGTCACCAAAATCTCTATACCATCAAAGGAGTTCATACATTATGAGTTAGAATTGTAAAGCTCTGTGAGCTTGGCACAATTATGCAAACTAGTACTTTGTCTATTGCCCTAGGCCTAGTGATGAAAGGTAAAATATCTCATATTGGCTGAATCACAATATAATCCCAATATAAGTTTGACCATCATGACTGTGAACTGAAGCCATAGTCGCATTTGTGTGGAAAAAAAAAAAACAAAAACTGGGCCAGAGGGTAACAACACTTAGGTGCTATGCCAAGCAACATGTCACAATATCCCCTCTAGGTAAGGTATAGGACTTAGAATCACAGTAACTGGGTTCTGGACTCAGCAATATGACACAATCCATTATGTTGGAAAAAAAAAAAAAACAGCAAAAAGTTGAGAGCCAAAACACCTATATAATTGGCCCCTGCTCTGTGAAAATACCTTCTGTGGCTCCAGCACAGTCATGAGTTTTACATTATCAGGGTGCTGGGCCCAGCAGTATGTCATAATATTCTCTACATACATAACGCATGTAAAAAGAGTAACATTATCTGGGTGCTGGGCCCTGCAAGAGGTCAAAATTTCTGTTTGTGGGCATGATTTGAGAAAAAAAAAAGGTAAATCAGATAACCTGATTATTAGGCTGAGCAGTCTTTCACAATCCCTCCACTGTAAAGACCAGGCAGAAAAAAAGAGTCACTTTCCTTAGTTCATGGACTCAGATATATGTCCCAGTATCCCAAGTGGAGAGGGCCCAGGCAGAAAGGGAGTGTCATATCACTTAAATGCTTCACTAGTTATATGTGAAAATCTTAACTGTGGGCAGAAACCAGTCAGAAGACCCACATCATCTGGGTACAACCAGAAGTAATATCTCATGATCTCCACTATAGATAGGATTTTTTTAAAAAAAATAATGACACCATCACGTGGGTGCTGTGCTCACCAATATGTAATAATTCCCTCTCTTGACAGACTCAAGTACAAAAAGGTGATTTATGTCACATAGGTTTTGCACTCAAGGGTATATCACAGTTTTTTCAGTGAGGAGGATCCAGGCAAGAGAAATGAGTCACGTTACCTAGATTCTAAATCTAGTAATATGTTGCAGTTTCTCTTCTCAGCAGTGTAATGTCAGGAGAGACATATTACATAGTCAATAGGCCCAGAGATATGTGAAAATATCCTCTGTTTACAGGGCCCTGGCAGAAGAGTCACATTATCTTGATTCTGACCTAGAAATTTAAACTAAAAGTTCTCAACACCAGGTACTTGGGCAAGGAATGTGACAAAATATTCTCATCTTTAAGGGTGATACCATTAAATATTAGCTATTTGTGTATAACAGACTCATAATCTCATGTGTATGCTGGCCATTGTATGACAGTCTCTACGATATCTGAGAATGTTATACAATATGCATGAGAGTTGCAATCCTCTCTGAGGACTATAGGCATTTACAGACTTATGATTATACATATTGCCCTAAACCCAGCTATGACAGTCAGCATCTCTCCTATAGGCTGGAGATAGGGATGAGATCATTATTATGACTGTGAGCCAGCTCCAAAAATGAGTCACCATCCCAGCTGTGGCCACATTCCTTCATGAAAGTCACAATTCCAACTTTGTGTTGTATTCACTTGATGGACTCAGGATCTCAATAATGGGCTTTGCAAATGTAGGATGGTAAAAACTTATTTTCACCTGAGTGTGTAGTCAAGAATCATAACCTTAACTGTTTGCTGGGCACTGTTAAGAAACTCTGCACCAACAAGGAAGTTTTTATTACATGAGTTAGTGTTGTAAACTACTGTGAGTTTTCTAGAAACTTGCAAAGAATAACCTGACCTTTTGACCTAAACATAGTAGTGAGAGGAAAAATATCTCCTATTGGCCAAATCCTGACACAAGCTTGATCATCTTACCTTTGGACTTGTTAACATCACTTAGGTTCTTTGTCAAGCAATATGTCATGATGCTCTCTGTAAGCAGTGCCTAGGAAAGAGGATGACATTAACTGGGGGCTGGAGCCACCAATATAATACAACCACACATGGAAGAAATTCAGCCAAGTGATAAGAGCCCAAATACCTACAAAATGGGCCAAAGATATGTTAAAATACCGTCTGTGGTCCTGGTACAAGCAAGAAAGTCACATAATTAGGGTTCTAGGCCAAGCAATATGCCACAATTCCCTCTTTATGCACAACCTAGGCAGACGAGCAACATCATCTGGGTACTGGGCCCTGAAATAAGGCAAAAGTTCTGTTCGTGGGCATTGTTCAGTTACAAGATGACAGTCACATTACCTAAGTGCTGAGCTCATCAATATGTCACAATCTTACCATTGTAAAGGGCCAGACAAAAATAGAGTCACGTCACTTAGGTCATGGGCTCACAAATATGGCCCAATGTCACCAGTAGGCAGGTCTCAGACAGAAAAAGTCATATTACTTAGGTGCTTCATTAGCTATATTTCACAATTTAATATGTGGGTGGAAACCAGGTTGAAAAGCCACATCACCCTGTCCTTGTGGACCATTTTGGAGTGTGTCCAGGCAGTAGAGGAGAGTCATATCAACTAAATCGTGGTCCCAGAGAGATATCACAATGCCTCCTCTTTAAAAATCCCAGACTCATGTCATTTAAATGCAGTGCTTAGAAATGCTACACTCCTCACTGGAAACAAGGTTAATGCAGGAGAGGAGAGTCACATAACATAGACATTGGGTCCAGAGATATGTTATGATCACTTCTGAGAACCTGTTAAGACATGAGACTAAAACCACAAATGTTCTTGGCACAGGTATAGGTCCAAATGTCATCTGTGTGCTATGACAAGGAATATGTCACAATAACACCTGTGAAAAGGGGCAGGGATGAGAATTATGATGCTGCACATGTCCTGGCTCTGGGGACAAGTGTAATCATTAGGCTTTTGATCTGGTCTCAGGTAAATGGAACAATATCACCTGTGAACAGGGAGAAAAAAGGAAAGTTCCATCACCTTAGTGGATGATAGTCCAGTGAAATATCTCAAATGTCCTTGTGGCTAGGACCCTTGTAGAAGAGTTACATCACCTGGATTCTGGTTTCAGTGATATATAAAATCCCGTTGTGAGCAGAACTTAGGCAGGAGTGAAGACAAACTTCTCTATGCAATTGGCCTGAATATATGTCACAATGGCTGCTATGTGTAGGACCAACATAAGGGAGTAACCTCACTTTGCTGCTGGGTTCAGCAATACGTCACAATTTCACTGGTGGTCAGGGCACAGGCAAGAGAAAAGAAGCATCACCTAGGTGCTGAGCAAAGTAATATTTTACAAAGCTTACTATTGACAGAAACTTCATCCCCCAAAAAAGAGTCACATCACCTGGGTGCATTACCCAGTTATGTGTCACAATCAACCAGAAGTGCAGGGCTAAGACAGTGTAGAAGGAAGTCATATCATTTAAGTAATTGACTTAAATAAAAGCCACAGTGCTCTTTGTAGGCAGGCTTCAGGCCAAGATTTCACATCAGCCAAGTGCTGGTCTTAGTGATATGCAAAAATGCCCTATGCTGCATTGCCAAAAAAAGATGTTGCTTATTGCTTCAGTGCTAGGTGCAGGTAAGTCACAATTTCAACTGTGCTCTGGGCATAGAAAGGAGAATCAAGACACTCAGATGCTGTGCAAAGTCATACTTCTCAATTACACTGTCAAAAATGTTCAGAAATAAGTTTCAATGTCCCACAAAAGTCCTGGCTTCAGGTATGAGAGTCAACACCTCCTGTAAGTTGGGTTGAAGTACAGGAGAGTGAAACCACAAAGGTTCCTGGCAAAAGTGTAAGTCTAAATGTCATCTGTGCACTAAAACAAGGCAGGATTATTAAATCATATGGGAGCTGGGTAAATGTGTAAGTCACAATAACATCTGTGAAAAGGGGCAGGGATGAGAATCATCATCCTGCAGATGTCCTGGCTCTGGGAATAAGTGTCCTCAGGTATCACAATCTCAAAAATAGGAATGACCTATATATAATAGTCTAAATCCCACTCATAAATTATGTTCCAGTAGGAAAGTCAAAGTACCACAGGTTTGCTAAATCATAGCTCAAACATCACCAAACCACCTGTGGATCAGATTCATGTATGACAGTAACAATTTCAAGCTTTGAGGCTTATGTGTGTGAGATTTACTACTTTATTTGTAGGCTTTCTTCAGGTGTGAAAATGAAAATTGTGTCACCTGGGTGTGCATCCAAGAGTCACACAATAATACCTGGTTGCAGGTACCTGCTATGAAACTCTTTGTAACACTCAGGCTTTATATGATATGCCTGAGTAGCATAATTTTCTGTGATTTCTTATAGGTTGGAGATCTAGGACTTTACCCATGGCCTTAAGACTGCCTATGAGAGTCAAATATCTCCCCCTGGCTAGGTCTAGTTATCAGAGTTACTACTGTGCATATGAACTGAATCCAGGTATGTGTCACAATTTCACCTTTGGACTGAGACAAGACAGAAGAGTTACATTATCTGGGTACTGAGCAAGGGATACATTATAATTTCCTTTTTAGCCAGCACCCAGTCAGAACAGTCATATCACCTGGGTACTCTCTCCAATAGTATCATCATGACCACTAAACACTTGGTTGAAAAATAGAGGATTGTCACACTCCTCGGTGCTGAGCTCAGCAATATGTTATTTTTTCCTCATTGGCAGAGTCCAAGACAAAGAGGAGAGTCACATCACCTAGATTTTGCACTCAGTGATACGTCACAATTTCTTCAGTGGCCAGAATACAGGCATGAGTGATTAGTCATATTACCTAGATACTATATCTAGTGCTCTGTCACAGTGTTCTCTGTGGCAGGGCACTGGCATGAGAGACACATCACCTAGCTCATAGGCCCAGAGATAGGTGATAATATCCCCTGTTGGCTGTGTTTCAACATTATTAGGATTCTGACCCAGTGATAATTCACAATGTACCTATGGGCAAGAGTTTAAGCCAAAAGTCTCAACCCCTGATTACTAGGCCTAGTGATATGACACAATCTCCTCATCTTTTACTGTGACACCTTGAACTTTCAGCTAAGCTTGAATATTAGAGTCACAATCTCACTTGTATGCTGGGTCAATGTATGACACTCTCTAAATCTGTGGGCATTATAAAACCTGGTGAGAGTTACAACTTCTCAGCGACCTTCATGCTCATTTGGACTCACAATTTTACATATTGCACTAAGCCCAGGTTTGTTGGTCAACCTGTCTTTTATATGTAGGGTTAAAGTAGAAGACTATTATTATCCCACCTCTGGACAGATCCACATATAAATGCACCATTCCAATTTTGTTTTGTATTCCCTTGTTAGACTCAGGACCTCAACAGTGGGCATTGTACATATAGGATGGTGACAACTTTTAATTTCACCTGGATGTGTAATAAATAGTCCAAATCTGAACATTTTGCTGGGTCCTGTTGTAAAATTTTGTACCACTAATGAGTTTATACAATATAAGTTAGTGTTGTATCCTTTGAGCTTGGTACAAATATGCAGCCCAGGACTTACTTATTGCCCTAAACCTAACAATGAGATTCAAAATATCTTCTATTGGCTGAACTGCAGTGTAAATGTGAACATCATACCTATGAGCTGAATCAAGGTACATGTCATAGCCCCATTTGTGAAAAATAAAAAACAGGAAGGCAGCACCATTTAGGTGTTGTGCCAAGCAATATGTTTCAGTGCCTTCTCTAGGCAGGGTATAGAAAACTGGGTCACATAAACTGGGTGCTAGACCAAGAAATATGACACCATTTCACATGTGAAAAAAACCCAAAAATGTTATGAGAGCCAAAACACCTACATATTGGACCCAAGGTATGTCAAAATACCTTCAGTGGCTCCAGTACAGACAGGAGAGTCACATCATAATAGTGCTGGGCATAGCAATAGGCAATATGCCATAATTTCCTGTTTTTATAGAAATCAGGCAGAACAGTAACATCAACTGGGTGTTGGGCCCTGAAACAGGTCAAAATTCCTTTTTTGGGTGGCATGGTTTAGGAAAAAAAGGAGAGTCACCTATCCTGAGTGCTGGGTTAAGCAATGTGTCAAAATCATCCTATTGTGAGGTCCAGGCAGAAAAAAGAGAGTCGCATCACTTAGGCCACGGGGTAAGAGATATGTCCCAGGGTCCCCAGCAGGGAGAACTCAGGCAGACAAGCAGAATTATATCAAATAGATGCTTTTGTAGGAATATGTCACAGTGTAACATGTGCACAGAAACTAGGCAGAAGAGCCACATCACTGGGGGCTGGGTCCTGACATATGCCACAAGACTATCTTAGGACAGCACCCAGGTAAGATTGTTACATCACCTAGGTCTCTGCTTATGCCTCAATTCCCCATGTCTGTATGGCCCAATTCAGGAGTCACTTTACTGAGGTAATAGGCACAAAGATATGTCATAATGACCTCTACAAAGCATAGCTCTGTCAAAGAGTAACATCACCTGTGGGTCTGTCCTAGAAATATGTCACTCTCTAGGTTGGCAATGCCCAAGTAGAAAAGCCACATAACATAGATGATAGGTCCAGAGATATGTCACAATGCCCTTTTTTGGGAATACCTCTGGAAAAGCAGTACCCTCACCTGTGTGCCTGGCCTTGCAATAAGTAACTCTCCTTCCTTTGTGCAGGGCCCATTCCATAGTGGAGATTTACTTCATCTATGGGTAGACACAGAAATATGTCACAATAATTATGATGGGCATGGCACAGACAAAAAGTAACATCACATGCATATTAGATTAAGTGACATTTCACAATCCTTACTGAGAGAAGGGCCCAGGCAGGAGAGTCACATCACCTCGAGGTTGGCCAAGATAGGTATCACTGTTCCATACATGAGCTGGAACAAGTATGGAGTATCAAATTGCACAGGTGCTTGGCAAAGATCTATATCACAATCACACCGTCAGAAAATCCCACAGATGAGATTTACAATATGACACATGTCCTATTTTAATGTGTGACAATTGGTTTCATCCGTGTGAGATTTTGACAGTCTTTACTGTCAGATATGTGTACTTCAAAGACATAATTTCTTCTGTGTGCTGAGCCCTGCTTTGTTTCTGTCTGTATAACCCAAAGACTTTGTATATGTGTGAGTTTTGTAATCTTTTGTGACCTTTGCAGAAGCTGATACAAGATATCACAAACGTTCCTAAACTTATTTATAAGAGTCAAAATATCTTCTATTGGCTGAGTCCACATATGAGAGTCACTATTATTACTGTGAACTGTGCCAAGGTTTATGTTACAATTTCTTCTGTGGTTATGAAGCATTCAGAACAGCCACATCACTTAAGTTCTTTGCCAGAAATATTCCAATATACTCTTTGTAGGCAGGATCCTGTCAGAAATGCTATGTAACTTGTGTGTTAGATCCAGCTTTATGACACAATGTCCTTTGTTGGTAATGTCCGGGGGGCAGAGAAAAGAGAAAAGCCATATCAGCTAAATCATGGGCCGCAAAGTATGTCACTCTGCCTTCTCTTGACAGGGCCCAGGCAAGAGAGTCATATCATTTGCATGCAGTGTTTAGAAATGCTACAATTACCAAGAAAAGCCATATACAGGCAGGAGAGAACAGTCATGTAATGTAGATCATGGACCAGAAATATGTTACAGTCACTCCTGTGGATATTGTTAAGATAACACAGTCAAATGACAAAGGTGCTTAGCCCAAGGATTTGTCAAAATGTCATTTGAGGACTATACCTACACAGAATTATTACATCACTAAGGAGCTGGGCAAAGGTATATATAAGTTACACTTGTAGATAGGTTTAAGAATAACAGTCACCATCCTGCACATATCCTGGCTCCAGATATATGAATTGTTATTAGGCTTTTATTATGTTCTCTGGTGTATGGCACAATATCACCTGCAACCAGAGAGAAGAAAATAAAGTCTCATCAGCTACGTGGGTGTAGATCCAGTGAGATGTCACAATCCACCTTGTGGACAAGACCCTGGCAGAAGTGTCAAATTACCCGGATGCTGGTTTCAGTGATATATCAAAACTCCTTCTCTAGGCAGGATTCTCACAAAAGAGGAGACTCATTTCACATGGGCAATTGGCCTAACTATGTGTCACAATGTTTCTTATGTGCATTATCAAGGCTGGAGAGTGACCTCAGAGGGGGGCTGGACCCAGAAATACGTCACAACCTCTCTGTGGCCAAGGCCCAGGAAAAAGCAAAGAAACATGAGCTACATGCTGAGCTAAGTGATATGTTACAATGTTCCTGTTAGTAGAAGTCAAAAAGGAGAATGACATCGCCTAGGGGCAGTATTCAGTTATGTGTCAAAATCCACTGTAAGTACAGGGCCAAGGCAGTAGAAGGGAGTCACGTCAATTCATGGGGGATGTAGATATAAAACACAATTCTTCTTGTAGGCAGATTTCAGGCAGATAATTCACATTACCTGGGTGATGGTCCCAGTGATATATGAAAGTGCCCTTTGAAGGCAAGGCCAAAGAAGGTATTATATATTCCTTGGGTTTTTGTTCAACATATGGCACTATTTCACCTGTTGTCTGGGCCTAGAAAAGAGAGTCAGATTATTCATGTGCTAGACATGGTTACCTGTCCCAATCACACTCTCAGATATGTTTGGAAATAAGTTTCACATGCCACACAACACCTGGTTTCCTGTAGGTAAGTCAACTCTTTCTATGAGGTAGATCTTAATAGAGGAGTCATAATCTCAACAACGGTCAAGATTCATGTATAGGAGCCCCAATCCCCCTTGAAGACTGTGTTCCAGTAAGGAAGACACAACACCACAGGTGTGCTGAATCATGGTTCAAATGTTACCAAATCATCTGTGAATCAGATCTATGTATGAGAATAATTATTTAAACATTTGACTGCTTATTTGTGCGATATTAGTACCTTATTCCTATGCCCTGTTCATGTGTGAGAATGACAATCATGTCAGCTAGGTGTGCATTCAAACTTCCCATTCTCATTTCATTGCTGGCCTCTGTTATAACATTATTTGTACAATTAAGGCTTTATATGATATAGCCGAGTGTTATAATCCTTTGTAAATTTTATACAATTAAAAAAACCAGGACTTTACCCATGGTCATAAGACTGGCTATGAGAGTCAATTATCTCTACTGGCTGGGTCCAGGTATGAGAGTTATTATTCTGCATGTGTGCTTAACACATATATATATCACAACTTGACCAGTCAGCAGTTATAAGAAAGGAAAGTCACATCACCGAAGTGTTGTGTCAATTATACAGTACAGTCTTATTTGTAGACTGGGCCTAGTCAGAAATGTCACATCCGATCACCTTGGTGCTGAGCCAGTGATACAGTATAATCTCCTTTGCATATGGCAACTAGTCAGAATGGTCACATCGCCTTGGGACAGCATCAAAGAGTATGTCACCAAGTGCACTATTGACAGGAGGAAAGAAAAAGAGGAGCATCACTCTACCTAAGTGCTGGGCTCTGCAAACTGTAATAATCCACTCTCTTGGCAGAGTCTAGAATATGAAGCAAAGCCACATCACATAGGTTTTGCAATCAGTGGTATGTCAAAACTTCTTTGGTGAGCCAGATCCAGACAGGAGAGGAGAGTTACAAGACCTAGATGTTAAGTTAAACAATATTTCCCAATGTCCTCTGGGGGCAGAGAACATGCAGGAGAGACCAATTCCCCAGTTTATAGGCCCAGATTAATGTGATAATATCTCCTGTTAGCAGAGTCCAGACAGAAGAGTCACATTATAATAATATGAACCCAGTGATATATCACAATGCACCCATGGGAAGAAATTTATGCCAAATTATCTCAACAGCTGGGTACTAGGCTTAGTAATATACCAAATTTCCTTGACTTTGAGGGTGAAACCATTAACTGTGAGCTGGGTGCGTATATAAGAGTAACAATTTCATTTGTTTCCTGGGCCATTGATTAACACTTTATTGCATTAGAGTTGCAAATCATTCTGAGGCCTACATGCTTATATGGATTCATGATCTTACATAATGCCCTAAACCCAAGGTATAGCAGTCAACATCTCTTCTGTAGTCTGGTTTCAGGGATGACACACTTTATTATGCCTGTGAGCTGGATCAAGAAAAGAGTCACCAGCCCACCTATGGCCAGATCCACATATGAAGGTCACAATTCCAATTTTGTAGTGTATTCACTTGTTAGACTCAAGACCTTAACAGTGAGCTTTGGATAATTGGAATAGTCTCAACATTTGCTTTTACTTGAGTGTGTAATCCAGAGTCCCAATATGAATTTTTGCTATTCCCTGTCATGAAACTCTCTGTACCCCACAAGGAGTTTATACATTCCCAGTTAGTTTTATAAAGATCTTTTAGTTTGGTGCAAATATGCAACCCACAACCTCATCTATTAATCTTGTCCTAGTGTTACAAAGCAAAATATCTCCTATTGGCTGAATCCCAGTATAATTTGGACCATCTTGCCTGTGAACTGAAGTAAGGTATATGTCATTATCTCATTTGTGTGTCAAAAACTAAGCAGGGTTGCACCATCACTTAGGTGCTGTGCCAAGCATCATGTCACAATGCTGTCTCTAGGCAAAGTATAGGAATTAAAATCATATTAACTGGGTAATAGACCCAGCAATATGACACTACACCATATGTGGAAAAAGAACAGAAAAGAAATCAGAGCCAAAACACCTACAGAATAAGCTCAGGATATGTCAAAATACCTTCTGTAGCTGCAGGAAAGCGTGATAGTCACATGTTAGTGTGCTGGGAACAGCAACATGCCATAATCCTCACTGTATGCACAATCCAGGCTAAAAAGTAATATTATATGCATGCTGGGCCCTGCAATAGGTCAAAATTTCTGTTTGTTTGCATGGTTCAACAGAAAAAGGAGTCAATTTGAGTGCCAGGCTGAGCAATATGTCACAATTCCCTCATTGTAAACACCAGGCTGAAGAACAGAGTCAATTCACTTAAGTCTTGGGCTTGGAGACAGGTACCACTGCCCTAGTAGTCAAGGCAGAGTCAGAAAAGGAAAGTCATGTTACCTAGGTGCTTTCCTAGTTATATGTCACAATCTAACAAGTGGGCAGAAATCAGGCAGAAGAGTCACATCACCTGGGTAGAGCCTCAAGTAATATGTCACAATGCCCAATGTAGACAGGTTTGATGAAAAAAAAATCACAACACATAGGTGCTGAACTCAGGAACATGTAGTAATTCCATGTCTTGGCAGAGTCCAGGGAAAAGAAGAGAGTCATGTCACTTAGGCTTTGCACTCAATTGTATGTCACAATTTCTTTGGTAGACAGGTTCCAGGCAGAAGAGGAGACTCACATTACCTAGATGCTATATCTAGTGATATATCACAATGCACTGGCAGGAGAGACATATCACCTGGCCAATAGGCCCAGAGGTGTACAAAAATACCCCATTTTCAAGGCCCAGGCAGAAGAGTCCCATTATCATGATTCTGACCCAGTGATATATAACAATGTCCTTATGGAAAGGAATTTAAACCAAAATGTCCCAACACTGGGGTACGAAGCCAAGTAATATGACACAATCTCCTCATCTTTAAGGGTGACACAATTAATGGTTAGCTAGTTGTTTATATGGAGTCACAATGTCACGTATGTTGTAGCCATTGTAAAACATTCTCTGCAACATCTGTTAACAATATACAACATGCGTGAGAGTTGAAACATCTCTGAGGCCTACATGCTTATATGAACTCATGATCTTTCATATTGCCTTAAGCCAACATATGACACTCAACATCTCTCCAACAGGCTTGCTTCAGAGATGAGATCATTTATAAACCTGTGACCTGGGGCCAGAAGTGAGTCACCATCTTACCTGTGACAATATTAACTTTTGAAAGTCACAATTCCAACTTGTGTATGCACTTGTTCTGTATGCACTTGTTAGACTCAGGATCTTAACAATGGGATTTGTAATGTGAGAAGGTAACATCTTTTACTTTCACTTGAATGTGTAGTGGAGATTCAGAATCTTAACATTTTGCTGGCATCTGTTGTAAATAACTTTTAGTATAGAATTAATAACGGAAGTTTTGAGTAAACACAATTGTGGATAATTAACATGGTTAAGAGCGTAGTTCTAAAAATGATTAAGGTCAGGTACTATGGTCTAAAGTAAATACTATTAAGGGGAAATTTTCTTGGTCAAGCTCCCCACTGAGAGGGCCAATTAGTTCAAATAGAGGTAGAATAAACAGACTTAACTGGGGAAGCCTATATTGTCCCTAATTTTACCCTGGGGTAAAATTTAAGCCTGCTCAATTATTACAAGCTATGTAACTTTTCAGCCTTCAAAAAAGGTTTGTGACTGTTCCTTATAACGTCCCCTAATATTTCCTTTTAATATTTCTACCAGAAACCAGAGTGAATCTCAACATACCGGCTGTGTCTAGGTATGAGAGTTATTATTGTGCAGAAGTGGTTAACCCAAACATTTTTCACAGTTCCACCTATGAGCAGGAAGAAGCCAGGATACTCACATCATCTGGATGCTTAGCCAGTGATACAGTATAATCACATATGTAGGCTGAGCATAGTATGAAGAGTCACATCACCTGGATACAGACTGAAATAGTATCAAGCCTGCTATTGACAGAAAAAGAGACAAGTCACTCAACCTAGGAGCTGGGCTCTGCAAAATGTAATAATCCCCTCTCTTGACAAAGTCTAGAACATGGATGAGAGTCACAATACCTAGGTTTTGCAATCAGCTGTATGTTACAGTTTACTTGGTGAGCAGAAGACAGACAGGAGAGGTGAGTAACATGACCTAGATGTTAAGCCAAATGATATTTTACAATGTCTTCTGGGGGCAGGCACTGGAGAGAAAAATCACCAAGTTTATAGGCCCAGAGATATGTGATACTATTATCTATTGGAAGGGTCCTAGCAGAAGAGTCACATTTTTATGATTCTAACCCAGCAATATGTCAAAATGTACCCATGGGAAATTTAAACCAAAATGTATCAACACCTGGGTACTACGCCTAGTAAGATGCCAAATCTCCTTGTCTTTTAGGGTGACACCATTAACCATGAGCTGGCTGTGAATATGAGAGTCACAATCTCACATGTTTCCTGGGGCACTGTATAACCCTTTACATCATTAGAAGGCTTTATAGAGCATGAATGAGAGTTGCAAACCTACATGCTGCTATGGACTCATGGTATTACATACTTTCCTAAACTGAAGTATGACAGTCAACATCTGTCTTGTATGCTGGCTTCAGGGATGAGTCCATTATTATGCCTGTGAGCTGGGTCCAGAAATGAGTCACCAACCCACTTGTGGCCAGATTCCCTTATGAAAGTTACAATTCCAATTTTTTACTGTATTCACTTGTTAGACTCAGGACCTCAACAATGGGCCTTGTAAATATAAGATGGTCACAACTTTTACTTTCACCACAATGTGTAGTTGAGAGTCACAATCTTAACATTTTGATGGGCTCCATTAGGAAACATTCTGTACCACACAAGAAGTATTTATGATATGAGTTAGTGCTGTAAAATTGTGTGAGCTTTGTAAAATATCAAATTAAAGAATTTATCTATTGATCTAAACCTAGTGATAAGAGAAAAAAAAATCTCTCCTACTGGCCGAATATAAGCTTGATCATCATGCCTTTGAACTGAAGGAAGGTATATGTCATAATTCAATTTTTAGGACAAAACCTAGCCAGAAGGTTAACATCACTTAGGTGCTATGCAAAACAATAAGTCACAATACCCTTTTCAGTCAGGGTCTACTAAAGAAGGTCACATTAACTGGGGGATGGAGCTTAGTAATGTGATACAATCACACGTGGAAGAAAGCAAGCAAAGTAATGAGAGCCAAAATACCTACAGACTGGGCCAAAGATATGTCAATATAATTTCTGTGGCTCTGTCACAGACAGGAGAGTCACATCATTAGAGTGCTGGGCCAAACAGTATGCCATAATTCCCTCTTTATGCATGACCTAGGCAGAAGAGTAACATCATCTGGGTGCTGAGCCCTAAAATATGGCAAAAGGCCTGTTCATGGGCATTGTTTGGCAGCAAGTCAAAAGTAACATTATCTAAGTGCTGGGCTCAATATCTCACAATACGTCAATTGTTTATATGTATTTAATACACCTAGACAATTTAATAGGTGGGCAGAATCCAGGCTGAAGAGCCAAATCACCTGGTCCTGGGACCTGAGATATTCACAAGCCCTCCTTAGAAAAGGACCCAGTCAAGAGATTTACATCACCTAGGTGCAGGTCCCACACTTATTTTACAATGCTCCATGTGGGCAGGGCCAAGCAGGAAGTCACATCACCTAGGTGAAAGGCATAGAAATATGTCACAAAGCTTTCCTTAAAGCATGTCCCTGACAAAAGAGTACCATCACCTTTGTGTCTGGCCTAGCGATATGTCACTTTTCAAGTGGGCAGTTCCCAAGCAGAAGAGACATATCATCTCTATGATAGGTTCTGTGGTATTTCAAAATGTCCTCTTTTGGACATTTTGAAATATGCCAAAATAGTATCATAACCTCTGTGCCAGGCTTAAGAATATGTCATTATCCTGCCCTGCTTGCAGGGCCCATTCCAGAGAGCAGAGTAATGTCTTTTAAGTGATGGACACAGTGATATGTAACAATGATGTCTGTCTCATGGGGCAGGCAAGAATGTAACATCACCTTGTTACTGCATCCAGTAATGTCACAATACTTACTGAGAGCAGGGCCCAGGCAGAAGAGTAACCTCACTTCAAGGCTGACCCAGGTAAATATCAAAATCCCATATGTATGCTTGAACCAGTCTGAAGAGACAAATCACACCGGTAATTGGCAAAGATTATATCACAGTCTTGATGGAATAAAATTCTAGGGATTAGATTTAAAATACCACACATGTCCTGTTTTCATGTAGGACAGTTGCATTCATCCATCTGTGATGGTGAAAGTCCATACTGTCAGTTGGGTTTGCATACGAGACTCACAATTTATTCAGTGTGCTAGGCCCTTTATGACACTCTCTATACAACAGAAGGGTGTTATAAAATATGTGTGAGTTAGTAAACTTCTGTGACCTTTATAGCAGGAGATTCCACATCACTCATGTCCCTAAACCTAGTTATAAGAGGCAAAATTTCTTCTATTGCCTGGTCCCACATATAAGAGTCATTATGATGCCTATTAGCTGTGCCTAGGTGTATGTCACCATGCCTTCTTTGGTTATAAAACAGACAGAACAAACATATCACCTAAATTCTAAGCAAGAAGTATTCCAACCTTCTCTTTGTTAGCAGGGCACTAACAGAAAATTTACAAAACTTTGGTGC
The DNA here is from genome assembly GCF_000001405.40 of Homo sapiens. Lineage (NCBI taxonomy): Eukaryota > Metazoa > Chordata > Mammalia > Primates > Hominidae > Homo > Homo sapiens. The sequence continues at coordinate 7,950,122 of NC_000024.10, forward strand.
TAGTCCAAGTTGTATGGCATAATGCCTCTTCTGGAGAGTGTCCAGGCAGTTGAGGAGAGTCACATCACCTAAATGATGGGCCCAGAGATATGTCACAAAACCTCCTGTTGAAATGGCCCAGGAAAGAGAGTCACGCTATTTGGAGGCAGTGTTTAAAAATGCTATACTCTTCACTGGAAGGAGGTTCAGGCAAATGAGGAACATCACATTACCTAGATGATGGGCCCATAGATATGTTATAATTTTTTCTGAGGACACTGTTATGACAGGAGAGTCAAACTAATAAGGTTGTTGGTCCAGGTATATGTCAAACTGTCATATGCAGGCTATAATTAGGCAGGATTATTAAATCACTAAGGAGCTGGACAAACGTATATGTCACAATAACACCAGTGGAAAGGTTCAGGAATGAGAGTCATCATTCTGCCCATACTAGCTCCAGGTATAAGAGTTGCTATTATCCCTTTGATGTGTTCTCAGGTATATGCCACAATATCACCTGTGGGCAAGGTGAAGAAAGGTAAGTCACATCACCTTAGTGGGCTCTGGTCCAGTGAAATATCACAATCCTCCTGGTGGGCAGGACTCCTGGAAAACAGTCACATCACCTGGATGCTGTTTTAAGTGATATATCAAAATCCACCCTATGTGCAGGGCTTAGGCAGGAGATGAGACAAACTTAAGCAATTGGCCTGGAGATATGTCACAAAAGCCCCTAAGTGCAGAACCAAGGCCGGAAAGTGTCCTCGCTTTGCTTCTGGGTTCAGCAACATTTCACAATCTCTCTGGTGGTTGGAACTCAGGAAAGAAAAAAGAAAAATCACCTAGGTGCTGAACCAAGAGTTATGTTAAAAAGCTTTCTATTGGCAGAGCCCCACAAAAAATGAGTTGCATCACCTGAGTGCAGTACCCTGTTATGTGTCACAATGCACAATAAGTACAGTGCCAAGGCAGTAGAAAGAAGTCACATCACTTACATGATGGATCTAGAAAAAAGCCACAGTGCTCTCCGTAGTAAGGGTTCAGGACAAGATTTTACATCAGCTGCATGCTGGTGTTAGTGACATGTAAAAGTGCCCTTTGTCACATTGCTGAAGGTGTTATATATTGCTTGTTGCAGGTGTGTCACAATTTCAACTGTGCTCTGGGCCAGAAAGGAGAGTCAAAATACTCAGATACTGGGCAAAGTCACACTTCTCATTCACATACTGAAAAATGTTCAGAATCAGATTCACAGTCCCACACAAGTCCGAGCTTTAGGTATGAGAGTCAACATCTCCTATGATTGAGTCAAAGTAGAGGAGTCACAATATCAACAATGGGCAAGATGCATGTGTAAAAGCCTCAATCCCACTTGAAGATTGTATTCCAGGAGGAGAGTCAAATCACTAAATTTCGCTGAATCATGGTTCAAACATCACCAAACCACCTGTGGATCTGATTCATATGTGAGTGTAACAATTTCTAGCTTTGACTGCTTATGTGAGGTAGAATTACTACATCATTCATAGGCTCTGTTTATGTGTGAGAATGAAAACCATGCCAGCTGGGTGTGCATCCAAGAGTCACAATAACACATGGTCGCTGGTGCCATTTACAACATGCTTTGTACAACTCAGACTTTATATGATATGACTGAGTAGGCTAATTTTCTGTGAATTCTTATAGGTGGGAGATTTGGACTTTATCCATGGCTATAAGATACACTATGAGAGTTAAAGTATTTCCCATGGCTGGGTGCCTTCATGAGAATTATTATTGTGTATGTGCACTGATTTCAGGTGTATATCATAATTTTGCCTTTGGACAGAGACAAGACAGAAGAGTCACATCATTTGCATACTGAGCCATGGATACCCTATAATCTCCTCTGTAGGAAGGAGCAACTCCCATGGGTCAAATCACCTGGGTGCAATCTCAAATAATAGGTCATCTTGACAGCTGTATACGGGATTGAAAAAATAGTGGATAGTCACATCATCTAAGTGTTGGGCTTAGCCATATGATATAATTCCCTCTCTTGACAGAGTACAGAACAAAGGGGGGAGGTTCACATCACCTATGTTTCGCACTTGGGGTATGTCACAATTTCATCAGTGAGCAGGACCCAAGGAGGAGAGGTGAGCCACATTACCATGATACTATATATAGTGATATATCATAGTGTTGCCTGTGGGCAGGACACCAGAAGGAGAGATACATCACCTAGAAAATAGGCCTAGAGATATGTGACAATATTTCCTGTTTGCTGGGCCTAAGATGAAGAGTCGTATTATTATGATTCTAATCCAGCGATATTTCACAATCCACCTGTAGTAACGAATTTGAGTCATTAATCTCAACACCTAGGGTTACTAGGCATAGTGGTGTGACAAAATCTCCTTATGTTTTAGGGTGACACTTTTTACTGGTGTGTATTTAAGTGTCACAACCTAACACTACTGTGGGATCTGGCCAGCAGCCCACAATGCAATGGGGCTCTTTCTTTGTTCCCAGGCAGATCAGCAGGTCGAGAAATAAAAGACACACACAAGATAGTGAAAGCTTTGTTCAGGGGGGTAACCACATTCTGGTTCTGTGATGTCACCAATGCAGTGGATATAACAGCATTTTTTATTAAGTTTAGTGAGGGTGGAGGTAGGTTCCTGAGGGATTTAGGATCATTTGATTATGAGGTGAGATTGTCACATGGGGATGAAGTAATTCTTTAACATAGCATCGGTATGTATGCAGAAGTACAGTATACAGAGATAGGAATTTACAATGTAATGTGTGCATCAGCAATTTCTAACAGAGCCTTAAAACAGAAACACAGTCTTTCCATAACCTGTGATTAGTAAGATATTAATCAGCCATAATAGTTGCAGCAAAAGCTGTTTGCAAACAATCAATGGAAGCAGGACGTGAAGCTAGACAACCAGTTAGATCATAAATTCTCAGACGGGAGTATGCCTTAACCCTAAAGAGCAATAAGAGAGCCATGGCAAAATAAGGGCATTTATAGCCCTGTCTTATCCATATGAACAGGTGCCCATCATGCATTCATTTATGGGCTTTCCACACAAGGGTCTCATTCCATTCCCAGAGCTATGAACATCTGCTTTTCTGGGTAGGAATCTTGGTGATGTGAAACCTCCCTGACTGCACGTCTGTTTACAGGCTCTTTGCAGGCGGAAGCACATCACATGCTGTTGGCTCATTCTGGCAGCCCAACTTGGCATTTTATTTACACAATCATGCATGTAATTTTGTATTTACAATAATCAGGAACATTTCATCTTTTATGTCATGGAAATAGTTTCAGGGGGTCTCCCTACATCTCCCCCTTTTCTCTGATTTAAATGAAGCACAGCAATCATAGCTTGGCACTGATCATGATTGGATTGAAGAATTTTTTTTCCAATTTTATTCATGAACAATAAACCAATAGCATAAATTATACACAGAAGAAAATTAATGATGGTGGGTACTCCAAAAGATTTTATCCATTGAATTAGGTAGAGATTAGATAACCTCTCAGAGATACGGTCTAAAACTTTAGCACCAGATAAAGCAGTTAACTGTGTCTGAGAGGTCTCAAAAATCTGTTCTTTTAGCTTGCTCCTGTCCACACTTAAAGTATCTTCACTTCCTTGAAAATGGTATTTTACTGATTCCCAATTGTGAACACATTATATCTCCCATCCATATAATAGTTTGTCTTAGATCATTAATTTGATTGACCAATTTTTTATCAACACCTGAGTGAGAATTCTACATCTGAGTAGATTTTTTTGCCATTTATCCACAAAATGAACAGTTTGAATAGATTGATGTAATGCAACCCCAGCAGTAGCAGCAGTCACAGTAACAGCAATCAAACCCATTATTACTGCCATTAATGTAAAAATAAATTGTTTACTCCTTTTAAGAATTTCTGTAGAATATTTTTAATAACATGTATAGAAGGGGAAGATTCCCAAGGCCTATGTAAGACTACAGGGAGCCAAATACCATCTCTGGCTCTGATATTAAAATACTATGATATTGGTTAAAGGATGAGTTGATACAAGTATACAAGTAACAATTAACACAGGTAATCATGTTGTTTTTTTAACTAATATGCATCTTTCCTACTAATAACATATATGGTGGTTTAACACAACTTTTAAGAGGTATAGTTTTGTTAGACTCCGTATAGATAATATATGTATTTTGGGATAGTACTTTTTTTTGTGAATGTGGGATGTGGGGAATACGTTGTATGGGAGGTGGTGGGGGGACATTAGCAATGGGGGGTATAAGTCCTCATAATCTTCACTGTCCCATCTTTGAATTGACCTTCTGATGATTGCCATAGTGATATTTTTGGCTGTGTGGGGATAATAGTGTGAATCAATTTGTTGTATTAGTTTTTTAGGTGACAAGGTAGATTTACTTATAACACTTTCCCCAGCCCAAACTCTGATACTAGTCATAGCTATGGTTAATCTTCATAATTCTGAATGTTCAGCTCCTAAGTGGGGATCAATAAGCCTTGGCTTTAGAGGGGCAACCCCTGCCCCTTTCCATTTAAAAGGAATAAAGTAGTTAAATTTATGATATAATAGGGGAGGCTTGTCACTAATTTTTGTTGAGTAATATCATAGAGAAAATGTTGACAATCTCTGTGACCTTGAGAACAGTCACTAGTAATATGATCTTTTGAGGCCCAATCAGCAATGGTGTAGTGAGAAAAATTGAATAGCACACTTCCTTCTGGACTAACACAATCCTTCCATATTAATTTGTCAGCATTTGGAGACAAGTTGAGAGGACACACAGGTCCTAATTCTTATATTGGGAATATAATCAGCAAATACTATTTTGATCTGCCTTAGAAGTTTTATTGAGAGACCTCATACCAACCGTCCTAAAGGATGGACAGAGTGACCAGATGGTAGTGTGACCACCCAAGTTTGAATATCTAATGAGAGATATCCATTAGTGGGTCCTAGGCACAAAGGTGGATACCTAAAACCTAAAGTGATATTAAAAGGGATTCCTTCTTCTGAAGTTTGGGCAGGACAATGATCATCTATAGGACCAGGCATCCAAATACTATCATTAATGCAGACCGTGAGAGGAGCATCCATCCATGTCACAGCTCAAATACGAGAAGGAAAAGGAATATAGGCCCAATATGTATACTTTCGACAGTCTGTGGAGTGACAGAGTGTAGAAGCATCAGTGTCATCAGGAGGAGGCAGAGGTTGAGATGAACCTGGATCACTGAAGAAGAGTTGTTCAGGATGTCTGACTGGAATGTCTGTTATAAAGGAGTTAGCATGATTATTTTTTTCTTTTTGACATTGGATGTGTTAGTTGTTTCCTGCTTTGGTGTTTTCTCAGCAAATGCCTCTACCTTGTTGTTGCATGCATCTTCAGTACAAAACTTCAGGTGTCTAGTAGGAATCCAAACAGGAGATTGATGTTCACCTGGGGAAACACAAGCATAGTGTCTTCCCCACGTTAAAATAGAGACTTTTGAACATATATTAGATTAAACATCTTTCCACCATACTTTCCATCCTTGGTTTACTGTGGGATGGTTACCAGAGAAATGTTTTTCAGCAGTGGTAACCAAACTGGATTTAGGAATATTAAGAAAATTTAATGTGAACAATGCCAAGTTTAGTTGTACGTGAGTGGTAGACAACTCCTTATCCCCTTCTTTTTGTTTCAGTAATTGTAATTTTAAAGTTCTGTTACTTCTTTCTACAATAGCTTGACCTTGTGGGTTATAAGGAATACCAGTAATATGTTTAATATGCCACTGATCAAAAAAAAATTTTAAAGGCTTTACTGCAATAGGCTGGACCATTGTCTGTTTTGAGCTCTAGGAATTCCCATAACTGGAAAACATGAAAACATGTTTTTTAGTGTAAGAAGAGGCTTCTCCTATTTGACGGATAGCCCAGATGAAATTGGAAATGGTGTCAACTGTGACATGCATATAAGCTAATTTTCCAAAAGAAGGAACATAAGTAACATCCATTTGCCAAATAGCATTAGGAGAAAGGCCTCGAGGATTAAGTCAGGGAGGTTGTGTGGGTAAGACAAGAACTTGACATTGAGAACTGTGTTGTACAATTTGTTTAGCTTGTTTCCAACTGAAAGAATATTTATGTTTAAGACCTGAGAGATTAGTATGAGTGAGTTGATGAAATTGTTCTGCATCTGTAATGGCTAGAGAAACTAGAGTATCAACTTTATGATAACCACTGGATAAAGGTCCGGGCAAATTAGTATGAGAACAATTGTGAATGATGAAAAAAGGGTGGTTTCAGTTTCTGACAGTTTTTTTGTAAGAAAGAGAACAAGGAAAACAGATTAGTGTCAGCAATATTTTTGATGGTAGCTATTTCTATTGCCTTAGTGGCATGGACTACAGAAGCTGAGTCAGAGACATTAAGAGGCTGATCAAAATCCTGTAATTCAGAGATGACAGCAAACAACTTGGCTTTTTGAGCAGAAGTATATGGAGTAGAAATGACTTTATTTTTGGTCCTACACACCCTGCCTTTCCATTACTGGATCCATCAGTAAAAATGGTAACGGCTTCCTCTAGTGGTGATGAACGAGTAAGTTTTGGTAGAATCCAGGAAGTATTTCATAGAAATTGAAAGAATTTGGACTTAGGCAAATGATTATCAATAGTGCCAATGAAGTCAACCAGATTAGTCTGCGAGCACAAAGATGTAGAAAAGGCATTTTTGACTTCATCTTTTGACAAAAGGACTACAGTAATATTTGGATAAAAGCCAGAAATTGTAGTGATATGTTGAGGTCCTACCCCAATTAAAGTGACCATTTGATCAAGATATATTGAAAGAGTTTCAGGGGCTGAATGAGGAAGAAATACCCATTCAACTAGAGAATCATATAATACTTATAATACTATAAGTCCCACAGGAGAGTGGATGGAAGGAAAAAACTAAAAATTATAAATACAACTTTGGGTCAATATTAGAGACTTGTGCCTCTCTCACTAATTGTCCTACAAAAGGCAACTCTTGTTTTGCTGGTTCAGATAGAGTGAGGACTGTTTAAATTTGCATCTCCTGATAAAGTGGCAAATAGATGAGATAATGCATAAGTAGGGATGGCTAGGGTTGGTCTGAGATAATTGATGTCACCTAGTAATTTTTGAAAATCATTTAAGGTGTTTAAATTGTCAGTACGAAGTTTGACTTTTTGGGGCTTAATGAAGAAAGCTTCTAGATGCATTCCTAAGGACAGAAAAGGAGTGACTTGTTGAATTTTATCAGGAGTGATGTAGAGTCCTGCTTTGGCAACAGCTAATTTCAAGAGGTAATTCAAGAGGTAAAACATTGAATTACTTCACCTTTAGTGGGAACAGCAATCAGTATATCTTCCATATAGTGAAGAATGTAATTATTTTAAAGTCTGTAGGATAGGTCGTAACACAGTACCAACAAACAACTAACAAATAGTAGGACTGTTAATCATTCCTTGAGGTAAAACTTTCCATTGATATCTAGCTGCAGGATGTGAATTGTTAATGGAAGGTATAGTGAGAGCAAATTTTTCAGTCTGACTTGTCTAAAGGAATATGGAAAAAGCAGTCCTTAAGGTCAATGATAATTAACGGCCATTCCTTAGGAATCATGAAGTGGGGGGACATATCGGGTTGTAACACCCCCAGAGGTTTAATAACTGCATTAACAGCTCTGAAGTCTGTTACCGTCCTCCAATTTCCTGACTTTTTTTGGTACAACAAATACATGGGAGTTCAATGGAAACAGGAAGGTCTCAATAGCGTTCGCTTGTAGTAAATCATTAACAACTTCAATTAAGGCCTCCAACTTGTGTTTGGAAAGAGGCCACTGCTCTACCCAAACAGGTGACTCACACATTCATTGTAAAGGGATTGGTGGGGGAGGCATAGCAGTGACAGCACCTAAAAAGTGTATCAAATTCCTGATTTATTAAGTTTTGGGAGGGTTCCAAGGGCTCTTCAATTCCCTCTCCTTTAATTCCCAATCTTTTTCCAGGAACAAAATTCATTTTATATATCACGTTTTTGCTAGCTTCACTATAATTTGATAAGTGGATAGATACTTCAGTCCCCCATTGTTGTAGTAAGTCATGTCCCTGTAAGTTTACGGTAATTGGAGTGATAAAAGGTTGAATAGTGCAAATTTGGTCATCAGGTCCTGTAGAAGGAAGCATAAGAGAACTTCCATATATGTCAAATGACTTTCCAACTCCTACTAAATTAGTTGAAGAGGGCTGTTTGGGCCAAGAGAAAGGCCACTGATTAGCAATGTTTATAGAAAGATCAGCCCCCGTGTTGACTAAACTTTCAAACATTTTTCCGGAAATTTTAATACTACAGTTGCAGTGGCAGATTCTGCGGAGGGGCACAGTGCAGGGAGAAGTAGTAATTGAGCAATGCTTTCTCCTGGTTCAATGAAAATGGGAGATTTGGTAGAAATAACCAAATTTCATCTGTAGTGTTGGCAAGTATAAGGCCAGGCCACTATGAACAATTACACCTTTTGAGGCTAATGAAGCCCCGCCAAGAATTAAGCCAATATAACCTTTAGGTAAAGGCCCTTTAGCTCCAGTCAAGCAAGGACGGGTTGTTCTCCAGGGAGTAAGGGCAAAGGGAGAGTACTACACAAATCTATTGAGCCCTATCCTGTGGTGGAGGTGGACAGGCATTGTACTGGGACAGGAGGAGGGGGTAATTGGCACTGGGTTGTGGGTATTGAATTTGAGGTAATGTCTGTGGCACTGTTTGTACTTGAATCTGTGGCTTCACTGGTGCAGTTATAGGGGTAGCCTCAGGGAGGAGTAAATGAAACCCCGGAGCCCAGATCCCAGGCTGGCTCCTCCCCCGGTTTCCCTGTAGTGGAACAGGAGTAGAAACAGTGTTGGCCACATTAAAGGAGGAAAGGGATTACCGCTTATATCGAATTTAGATCGACAAGAATTCATCGAATGTTTACGTTTTTTACATTGTGGGCAAACAGTAGCAGGTACTCTCTGTAAATCTGGAGTTTGTGGAGCAGGTTGTTGGGGGTTAGCATTAAGAAAAGGGCAAGATTTTTTTAAGTGTTCTACTCCCATACATTTATAACAAGTACTAGGGAAAGTATTGGGCACACATGTTGCAGGAACACTAGGAATAACAGCAGCCACTTTTAAGGACGAAGTCATGGCTTGAGCCCTGAGCACAGCTTTATGAATTTCAGAACCAGTGCCATCACAGGCTCTAATGTAGGAAGGAATTATGGCATAATCAGGTATGTTTTGAGTCTTATGATGTAATGGTGATATGGCAGCCAGACACTCAATATTAGCATTTTCAAACACAATACGTCGGATAACCACATCTCTTGCTCTAGTATCAGAAATAGCCTTTTCAGCAGGATCTTTGAGTTGAGACGGGAAATCATGATAGGGTTCAGAAGGACCTGGATTAACAGCATTAAAAGATAAAGGGGTCTTGCCTGCATCTTGAATACGTTCCGATGCTCGTAAACACACTTGAGTAACCTGAGTTACAATATGTTGATAATATTCCAGTTGTCAAGCAAGAGTATTTCACAAATCACTAGTACCCATAAGCATAGCATAAAACCCTTCAGTCCCATTTTCAGAATTTATAGAAGTTTGAATCATGGCCTCTTCTGACCATCATGTCTTAAACGGTAGGAATAGAGAAGGGGTAAGAGAAGCATGAACTAACAAATTCCAATCAATAGGAACAAGCTGTTTTTCAGTAGTAAGGGAATGTAGAACAGTTTTGACATAAGGAGAATTTGGTCTATATTGATCACAAGCAGATTTAAAATCTTTAAGGAGTTGCAAAGAGAAAGGTTCATAATATCGCTGGCCTTTAACAGTGCCATTGCCCCACTCTCCTGTACCCTCAGATTTAAGGACTATGGCTATGGGGAACTGCCAGGCATCCAAACCACAAGAAGCCCTAGCTCTACCCATCACCTTCTGAATACAAGTGTAGACAGGTCTATCAGGGCAGAGGAAAGGAGAGAAGGAGAGCAAAGGCGCCGGGAGGTAGACGGGGGGAAGCAGGATTCCAAGCCTCTGAAAGAAAGGATCCCAGAGCGTTGAAAGAAACAGTAGGCTTAGAAGAGGGGAGAGGTCCAAATGGATGAGAGGAACAAGAAACAGGCCGTTCAGATGAATACCAAACATCCTCCTCTGGCAGAGGGGGCAACAGATTACTAGAAGAAAAGTTAACATATACAGGTTCCAAGATAGGCAGAGGGAGGGGATCATCACCAGGTACTTACTCTTAGGGAGAAAACAAGGAGACATTTAATTCCTCCTCATGATCAGAAGGAAGACTAGTAGGGGAATCAGGTACCCAAGTAAAAGGAGTGGCTGATCATCGGAGTTAACTTTTGGCAGTTGAAGAGGATCACCAGACAGAAAAGGAAGTAAAGAAACATGAATAAGAGACCTGTCAGTCCAGACAGAAATATGAAGTACACCATCTCTCATGAGTTGTTGGAGTGTGGCATCAACTCTATCACAGTTTAACAGGTCCATAAAACCTTTGTCAGGGAACCAAGAACAATGTTTTTCAATAGTCTGAAATAAGAGCATATGGTTATTGGAATCAGCCTTGATTCCACCCTGTTTAAGAAGTTAATAAAAGACAGATAAGCCTGGTGTTTAGACTGTGATTGCCCCGTGATAACCCTGGAACAATACCAGTCAACAAACCCAAAAGGAGGGGAGGGTCGGAAAAGGCATACCTGGAGACCTTACAGTCGAGACTGAAGACTAGTCATCAGGAAACCCCACTCAGAGTGCACTGAGCCAAGGAACAAAGAAGGCCATGTTAGGTGCGAGATATTGTGGGATCTGGCCAGCAGCCCGAAATGCAACAGGGGCTCTTTCTTTGTTTCCAGGTGGATCGGCAGGTCGAGAAATAAAAGACACACACAAGATAGTGAAAGCTGGGTTCAGGGGGGTCACCGTCTTCTGGTCCTGTGATGCTGCCAATGCACTGGATATACCAGCATTTATTATTAAGTTTAGTGAGGGTGGGGGTAGGTTAGTGAGGGATTTAGCATCATTTGATTATGAGGTGAGATGGTCACATGGGGATGAAGTAATTCTTTAACATAGCATTGGTATGTATGCAGAAGTACAGTATACGAAGATAAAAAATTTACAATATAGTGTATGCATCAGCAATTTCTAACAGAGACTTAAAACAGAAACACAGTCTTTCCATAACCTGTGATCAGCAAGATATTAATCAGCAATAACAGTGGCAGCAAAAGCTGGTTGCAAAGAATCAATGGAATCAGGACGTGAAGCTAGACAACTAGTTAGACCACAAATTCTCAGAAGGGAGTATGCCTTAACCCTAAAGAGGATTAGAAGAGCCATGGCAAGATAAGGGCATTTATAACTCTATCTTATCCATATGAGCAGGCGCCCCTCATCATCCACTTATAGACTCTCAACAAAGGTCTCATTCCATTCCCAGAGCTATGAACATCTGCTTTTCTGGGGTAGGAATCTTGGTGATGTGAAACCTCCCTGACTGCACATCTGTTTATAGGCTCTCTGCAGGGGGAAGCACATTACGACCTGTTGGCTCATTCTGGTAGCCCAACCTGGCATTGTCTTTACACAATCCTGCATGTAATTTTGGATTTACAATTATCAGGAGCATTTCATCTTTTATGCCATAGCAATAGTTTCAGGGAGGCTCCCTAGATAACATGTTTTCTCGGTCATTGCATGACACACTCTACAACATCCAAAGGCTTTATGCAACATGCATGAAATTTGCAATCCATTCTGAGGCCTACATGCCCCTGTTGACTCACAATCTTACATGTTGCTTTAAACCCAGTTACGATAGTCAACATCTCTCTTGTAGGCTGGGCTCAGACAGGAGACCCATTATAATGCCTGTGATCTTGGTCCAGAAATGAGTCACCATCTGAATTGTAGCAAGACACACATATGAAAGTCATAATTCCATCTTTGTACTTTATTTACTTGTTAGACTGAAGGCTTTAATAGTGGTCTTTGTAAATATGGGATGCTGAAAACTTTATCTCTCACCCGCATGTGTAATCAAGAGTCACAATCTTCTTTTGCTGCACCCTGTTATAAAACTCCATGTACCGGCCAAAAAGTTAACAATATGAATTACTGCTGCAAATTTCTGTAAGCTTCATGCAAATATGCCACTCATAACCTTACCTATTGCCCTAAGTGTAGCGATGACAGGCAAAATATCTACTATTGGTGGAATTCCAATATAAGTTTGTTTATTGTGCCTTTGAAATGAAGCAAGGTAAATTTCAAAATCCCATCTGTAGAAAAAAACTTGGCAGGAGGGTAGCACAATTTAGGTGCTGTGCCAAGCAATATGTCACAATGTCCTCTCTAGGCACACTCTAGAAGTGAGGGTTACATTACATTGATGCTGTACCCAGCTATGTGACACAATCCAAAATGTGGAACAAAAAATAACCCCAGACAAATGATGAAACCAAAAACACCTACTGAATGGGTCTATAATATGTAAAAATACTTTATATTGCTCTGGCACAGGAAGGAGTGCTACATCATCAGGCTTAGGGGCCCAGCAATATGACATAATTGTCTCTTTATGCAGGACCCAGGCAGAAGCAGAAGATTATCTGGGTGCTGGGCCCTGCAATACATCAAAAATCTTTTCCTTGGGCATGGTTGGGGAAAAAAAGAAGCGTCATAGTACCTAAGTATTCAGCTTAGCAATATGTCAAATCACCCTATTGTAAAGACTCAGGCAGAAGAAAAGATTCACATCACTTAAGAACAGACTCAGATATATGACCCAATGTTTCAAGGAGGCAGTGTTCAGGCAGAAGGGAAGAGTCATATCATGTAGATGATGCCCTAGGTATATAACACAGTCTAACATGTGAGGTGAAAGCTGGCAAAGGAGCCTCATCACCTTGATGCTGGCTCTTGAGATATATCACACAAAGTTCCCTTAAGACAGTACCCACACAAAACATTACAACAGTTGCAGTTTGTACCATTATGTCACAATGCTCCATGTGGGCAGGGCTCAGAAAGTAGTCACATCATCTAGATAACAGGCCAGAAATACATCAAAATATCTTTCTAAGGCATGGCCCTGACAAAAGAGTACCATCCCCTGTTTGTCAAGCGTAGTAATAAGTCACTATCCAGGTAAGCAGGGCTCAAGCAGTGAAGCAACATCATCTAACTGTTAGTGTCAGAAATTTGTCACAATGCCATCTTTAGGACATGGCCCTAGTAAAAGATTACTGTCATCTATGTGGCTGACTGAGCCGTATGATACTATTCCCCACTGTACGAAGGGTCCATTACCATGAGTAGAGCTGCATCACCTAAGTAGTTGACACAGCAATATGTCACAATGATTTCTGTGGGAATGGCTCAGGCAAAAGTGTAACATGACTCGTGTGCTGGACCTAGTGATATGTCATGACTGTTACTTAGAGCAGGGCCCAGGCAGGAGAGTCATATCACCAAGAGGTTGGCCCAGGTAGAAATAACAGTATCATCCACAGGCTGGAACCAGTAAGAAGAGTCAAATCACACAGATGCTCAGCAAATATTTTTATCAAAATGACACTGGGAGAAAATTCCTGAAAGGAGAGTTACACTGCCACACATGTCCTGTTTTCATGAATGACAGTTGGCTTCATATATTTCAGACAGTGACAGTCTTTCCTGTCAGCTGGGTGTGCATTCGAGACTCACAATTTCATCATTCTGATGGATTATGTTATTACACTCTCTGTGCAAGCCAAGGGCTTTATAAGTTATCTGAGGCTGTTATAATCTTTAAACTTTTTTTTACCAGAAATAGATTTATTCACGCTTGTCTTTCTTTCTTTCTTTCTTTCTTTCTTTCTTTCTTTCTTTCTTTCTTTCTTTCTTTCTTTCTTTCTTTCTTTCTCTTTCTTTCTGTCTTTTTTCTTTCTCTTTCTTTCTTTCTTTCTTTCTTTCTTTCTTTCTTTCTTTCTTTCTTTTTCTTTCTTTCTTTCTTTCTTCCTTCTTTCTCTTTTCTTTTTTTATTATTTATTTATTTATTTTTAAGATGGAGTCTGTCACCCAGGCTGGAGTACAGTGGTGCAATCTCCACTCCCTGCAACCTCTGACTCCCGGGTTCAAGTAATTTGCCTGCCTCAGCCTCCTGACTAATTTGGACTCCAGTAGCGCACCACCGTGCCCAGACACCTTTTTGTATTTTTAGCAGAGTGGAGTTTCACTATGTTGGTCAGTATGGTCTCAGTCTTTTGACCTCGTGCTCCACCTGACTCACCTTCCCAAAGTGGTGGGATTACAGGCCTGAGCCACCATGACCAGCCAATTCACTTATGTTTCTAAAGTAAGTTAGAAGTGTCAAAGTTACCTTTATTTCTGGGGTCCATATACAGGAGTCATTATACCAGTAAGTTGTGCCTAGGTATATGTCACAACTTACTCTGTGGTAATGAAACAGACATGACATCTAAGTCACCTAAATGCTGAACCAGAAATTTTCCAGTACTTTTCTTGTAGACATGTTCCTGGCAGAAAACTTGTGTAACTTGAGGGTTACTCCCAGATGTATGGCATAATGCCCCTTGTGGGCAGTGTCTAGAAAGAAGAGGAGTCTCATATCACTTAAATAATAGGCCAGAGATGTGTCACGATGTGTCCCATTGAAAGGACCAGGCAAGAGAGTCATATTGTTTAGATGCAGTGCTTAGAAAAGCTATAATCCCCAGTGGAAGCAGGGTCCAGGCAGGAGAGGAGAGTCAGGTAACTAGATGGTGGGTCCAGAGACATGTTATAGTCTTTCCTTAGGATGTTATTAAGACAGGAGAGTAAATCACAAAGGTGCTCACCAGAGGTATGTTTCCAAAACTCATTTGTGGGCTACACCTAGGCAGGATTATTAAAGCTAGGCAAAGGTATATATAACAATAATACTGGTTGAAATTTCCAGGAATGGGAGTCACCATCTTGCCGATGACCTGGGTCCATGTTTAAGAGTCATGATTAGTCCTTTTGTCTGGTATCAGGTATATGGCGCAATATCACCTGTAAGCAGAGAGCAAGCAGGAAGATCACATCACCTTGGTGGGTACTGGTCCCGTGATATGCAGCAATCTTTCTTGTAAGCAGGACCTTGGAAAGGGAGTCACATTACCTGCAAGCTGGTTTTAGTGATATATCAAAATCCCCTATGTGGGTAGGACTTAGGTAGGTGAGGAGACCATCTTCACCTAGCCAACTATCTTAGACATATGTCACACTGGTTGCTATCTGCAAAACCAAGGTACAAAAGTGACCTCACCTTGGTGTTGGGTTTAGCAATATCACAATCTCCCCTTTGGTCAGGGTGATGTAAGACAGGAGAAACATCACCTAGGTGCTGAGTTAAGTGATACGTTACAAAGCTTTCTGTTGGCAGAACCCAAAATGGAGAGTCACATCACCTGGGTGCAGTGTCCAGTTATGTGTCACAATGCAGTGTAAGTCCAGGGGCATGGCAGTAGAAGGGAGTCACATCACTTACATGATGAATGTAGATATAAGCCATAATGCCTTTTATAGGCAGGTATAAGGCAAATAATTCACATTACATGAGTGCTGGTCCCAGTAATATGTAAAATTTCCCTTTATATGCACACCCAGGCACCTACGCTTAGGTGTACGATGGTCAAATTATTCAAGCACTCAGCTAACTTTTATGTCCTAATTACATGCTAGGAAATATTTAGAAATAAGTTTCCCAGTACCACACAAGTCCTGGATTTGTGTATGTGAATCAACACTTCCTGTGAGTTGGGTCAAAGCAGAGGAGTCACAGTCTTATCAATGGTCAAGATTCATGCATAAGATGCCCAATTTTACTTGAAGATTGTGTTCCAATAGAGGAGTCACAACCCCACAGGTGTGCTGAATCATGCATCACCAAACTAACCATATAGGAGAGGAGCAATTTTAACCTTTGACTGCTCTGTTTATGAGGTTTAACACCTTATTTCTAGGCCCTGTTCTTGTGAGAGAATGAATACTGGATCAGCTGGCTGCACATTCAAGAGTCACAATCGTACCTCTTTCCTGTTCCCTGTTATAACACTGTTTTTACCATTCAGACTTTATATACTATGTCAGAGTGTCATAATCCTCTGTGAAATTTAGGCCATTGGGAGACATAGTACTTTACTTGTGGCTATAAGACTGGCTATAAGAATCAAAATATCTCTCTGATTCTACGTATGACCCTTATATTTGTGCATGTGGGCTGAACCCAGTTATATGTCATAACTTAACCTGTGAGCAGAAGCAAGGGGGGAGAGTCTCATCACCTGGATTCTGAACTCAGGATACATTGTAATCTCCTTTGCAGGCAGGGCCAAGTCAGAAGTGTCACATCACCTGGGTACTGCAGCAAGTAATATGGCATCATGTCCACTGTAGACAGGTTTGAAGAAAAAGAGGAGAGTCACACCACCTAGGTGATGGGCTCAGCAATATATAGTAATTACCTCATTTGGCTGACTCCAGTATAAGGAGGAGAGTTGCATTACCTAGGTTTTGTACTCAGCTGTATGTCGCAATTCATTCAGTGGTCAGGGTCTAGGCAGGAGACAAGCATCACATTTCCAGATACTACTTCAAGAGATGTCATAATTTTCCTTGGGGGTAGAGCACAGGCAAAATAAAGAAATCACCTAGTTGATAGGCTCAGAGATCTGTGATAATATACATTTTGGGGCAAAGCCCAGGCAGAGGAGTCATATTGTTATGATTCTAAACCAATGATATATCACAATGCAAACATGGGAAAAAATTTATGCAAGTTTTAACACCTGGGTAATAGGACCAGAGATAAGACACAATCTCCTCATCTTTGAGAGTGACACCTTTAACTGTTAGCTTGGTGTGTATATGAGTCACAATGTCACATGTGTGCTGGCTCATCCTATGACACTCTCTAGAATGTCTGAGGGCTTTATATGGCTTGCATGAGAGTTGCAAACTACTCTGAGGCCCACATGCGTATATTAAATCACAATCTCATATATTGCATTACACACAGGTACGATAGCAAACATCTCTCATTTAGGCTGATATCAGGAATCAGACTTATTTTATACCTGTGGGCTTGGTCAAAAGTGAGTCACAATCATACCTGTGGCCAGATCCATATATGAGAGCCACAATTTTATCTTTACATTATCTTCAGTTGTTAAACTCAGTACACCAACAGTGGGCTTGGTAAATGTGAAATAGTGATATCTTTTACTTTCACCTGGTTGTTTAATTGAGAGTCACAATCTTAACTCTGCTGGGACTTGTTTTGAAACTCTGTATCACCCAAATAGTTTATACAAGATAAACTAGTGCTGTAAACTTCAATGAGCTTTGTACAAATTTCCAACCCAGAATTTTACCTATTGCCCCAAGACTAGCAACAAGAGGCAAAATATCTTCTCTTGCCTGAATCCTAATATAAGTGACCATCATACCTTTAAGCTGAAGCAAGGTATATGTCATAATCCCATTTGTGGGCCAAAAAAATAGGGAAAAGAGTAACATCACATAGCTGATATGGCAATTAACATGTCACAATGTCCTCTCTAGGCAGAACCTAGGAAGAAGGCTTACATTAACTGGGTGCTGGAACAGGTAATATTACAGAATTCTGCATATGAAAAAACTTAGCAAAGGGGTAAGAGCCAAAACACCTACGGAATAAACAAAAGATATGTCAGAATACTTCCTGTGGCTCTGTCATGTAATATTACAGAATTCCACATATGAAAAATCTTAGCAAAGGGGTAAGAGCCAAAACACCTACAGAATAAACCAAAGATATATCAAAATACTTCCTGTGGCTCTGTCACAGGCATGACAGTAGCATCATCAGGGTGATTGGCCCACCATCTGCAATAATTTTCTCTTTATTCACTTTGGCAAAAAAGTAACATCATCTGAGTCCAATAGGTCATAATTTCTTTCTGGTCATGGTTCAGAAAAAAGAATAGAGTCACACGATGTTAATGTTGGGCTCAGCAATATGTCACAATCCTGCCATTTTAAAGGCCCTGGCAGAAGAGAGTCATATTACTTAGGTCATGGGCTCAGAGATGTATCCCAATGTCCCTAGTAGGCAGGGCTCAGGTGGTCAAGGAGATTCATATCACATGCATGTTTCCCACGGAATATGTCACAGTGTAACAAGTGGGCAGAAAATAGACAGGAGAGCCACATCACTTGGGTACTGCATCCTGAGATATTTCACAAGTCTCTCTTAGGACATCAACCAGACAGTGGAGTTACATCACCTACATGCAGTTTCTCGGCTTATGCCACATTGCTCCATGTGGGTGGTATCAAAGGAGGAAGTCACTTTACCAAGGTGATAGGGCCAAAGATATGTCACAATGTCCTCTATGAAGCATAGCCCTGGCAAAAGAGTACCATCACCTCTGTGCCTGGCCTTGAAATATGTCATGCTCCAAGTTGGCAGTGCCCAAGCAGGAGAGCCACATAACCAGAGATATTTCAAAATCCTCTCTTTTGGGCATGGCTTTGGCAAAAGGGTAGCCTCACCTGTTTTCTTGGCCTTGAATCATGTCACTACCTTTTCTTTGTTCAAGGCCCATTCCAGAGAGAAGAGTTACATTGCTTATGAGGTGGACACAGAAATATTTCACAATAATTTTGTTGGGTGTGCTGCAGGCAAGAATGTAATATAACATGGGTGCTAGATCCAGTGATATATCACCATTCTTACTGTTAAGAGGGTCCAGACAGGAGAGTAATATCACTTTGAGGTAGGACTAGGTAGATATCACAACCCCATATATGGACTGGAAGCATTCTGGAGAGTCGAATTACACAGGTTGTTGAAAAAAATCTATAAAACATTCGCACTGTCAGAAAATTCCAAAGATGAGATTTAGAATACTACACATGACCTGTTTTCACGTGTGACAATGGCATCATCCATGTGAGATGATGACAATCCTTACTATCAGCTGGGTGTGCAAAGAAGACTCACAATTTCACCTATGTGCTGAGCCCTGCTTTGACTCAGTCTGTATAAGCCAAAGACTTAGTAAAATATGTGTGAGTGTTATAAACATTTCTGATGTTTGCACAAGAAGCTGATGCAGGATGTCATGCCTGTCTCTAAACATACTTATGAGAGTATGTTTAGATACTTTTGAGAGTATGTTTAGATAATAGGGGATACTTATGGGAGTATCCCCTATTAGCTGAGTCCACATATAAGAGTCATTATCATTGCTGTGACCTGTGCCTAAGTATATGTTACAATTCCCTCTGTGGTTATGAAGCAGGAAGAATGACCACATCACATAAATGCTGGGCCAGAAATATTCCAATATTGTCTTTGTACTAAGTATCCTGTCAGAAATGTCACATACCTTGTGTGTTAGGTCTAGCTCTGTGGCACAATGTCCCTTGTAGGCAGTGTCCAGGGAGAAGAGGAGAGTCATATCACATAAATGATGGGCTCCATAATATGTCACAATGCCTCCTGTTGTCAAAGCCAACAGGCAAGGTATTAATATTATTTGGATGCAGTGTTTAGAAAAGCTACAATTACCAAAGAAAGCAGGGTACAGACAGAAGAGGAGAGTCATGTAACCTAAATTCTAGATCCAGAAATATGTTACAATACCCCCAAGGACATTTTTAAGATAGCACAGTGAAATCATCAAGGTACTTGGCTCAAGTATTTGTTAAAATCTCATCTGTGGGCTATACCTAGGCAGAATTATTAAATCACTCAGGAGCTGGGCAAAGTTGTAAGTCACAATTAGACTTGTGGGAAGGTGTAAGAATAAGAGTCACCACACTGAATATTAGGTTTGGTTATGTTCTCAGGTATATGGCACAATATCACCTGTAGCCAGAGAGAAGGCAAGAAAGTCACATCAACTATGTATGTGTGGGTCCAGTAAAATGTCACAATACACTTTGTGGTAGGACCCTGGCAGAAGAGCCATATCATCTGGATGCTGCTTTCAGTGATATATCAAAATCCACTATGAGGGCAGGACTTTGGAAAGAAAGGAGACTCACTTAGCCTAGGCAACTGACCCAAGTATACGTCACAATGGCCCTTATATGCAGTACCAAGTCTGGAGAGTGACCTTAACTACATGCTGTGTGCAGCAGTACATCACTATTTCCCTGTGGTCAGGACCCAGGAAAAATTGAAGAAGCATCACCTAGGTGCTGAGCCAAATGATATGTTCCAATTCTTCCTGTTTGCAGAGCTCAAAAACAAGAATCTCATCACCTGGGTGCAGTACCCAGTTATGTGTCATATAGCAGTGTAAGTGCAGGGCCAAGGCAGTAGAAGGGACTCACATAACTTATGTGATATGCCTAGATTTAAGACACAATTCTCCTTGTAGGCAGTTTTCAGGCAGATAACTTACATCACTTGGGTGATTGTCCCAGTGACATATAAAAGTGCCCTTTGCAATGGGAGCTCTGGAAGCTGTTATATACGGCACGTAAGGAATATATATGGTACAATTTAATCTGTGGCCTAGGAGTAGAAAAGAGTCAGATTATTCATATGCTAGGCAAAGTTGCCTCTCCTTTTTATGTTCTCAGAAAGATTTGGAAATAAGTTTCACATCCCACAAAAGTATTTCTTCTGTGTATGTGATTCAATTTTTTCTGTGACTTGGGTTGAAGTAGAGGAGTCGCAATCTCAACAATGAGCAAGATGCATGTACAAGAGCCCCAATCACACTTGAAGATGGTTTTCCAGTAAGGGAGTCACAGCACTACAGGCATGTTGAATCATGGTTCATATGTTACTAAGTCACCTGTGAATGAGATCCACATATGAGAGTAATTATTTCAATCTTTCACTGCTTTTTATGTGTGAGATTTAGTACCTCATTCCTAGGCCCTGTTCATGTGTAAGAATGTCAATTGTGTCAGCTAAGTGTGCATGCAAGGGTCACATTGTCACCGCGTTGCTGGTTTCTGTTATTACACTCTTTGCATCATTAAGGTTTTATATGATATACCTGAGTGTTATAATCCTTCATGAAATTTATACTAGTGAAAAATACAGGACTTTACCCATTGCCATAAGACTGGCTGTGAGAGTCTCTACTGGATTGGGCCAGGTATGAGAATTATTATTGTGCATGTGTGCTTAAACCACATATATGTCACAACTGGACCTGTGAGCAGAAAAAAAGTCAGGAGAGTCACATTACCTTGGTGCTGAGCCAGTTATATAGTATAATCTTATTTGTAGGCTGGGACCAATCAGAAGAGTCACATCACTTCACCTGGGTGCTGAGCCAGTGAAAGAGTGTATACTCATTTTTTGGCTTGGCCTAGTCAGAAGAGTCACATCACCTGGGTACAGCCTAAAATAGTATGTCACCAAGCCCATTGTGGACAGGAAAGAAGAAAATGAGGAATGTCCCACAACCTAGGTACTGAGCTCTGCAATATGTAATAATCTCTTCTCTTGAAAGAGTCTAGAATATGAAGGAGATCTACATCACCTAGGTATTGCAATCAGCAGTATGTCACAACTTCTATGGTGAGCAGGGCTCAGGCAGGAGAGGATAGTCAGATTTTCTAATTATTAAGTAAACTGATATTTCACAATGTCTTCTGGGGGCAGGGCACAAATAGGAGAGAAAAATCACCTAGCTTATGGGCCCAGAGATATGTGATAATATTCCCTGTTTTCAGGGTCAAGGTAGAAGAGTCACATTATTATAATTCTAACCCAGGGATATGTCACAATGAATCCATGGGAAGGAATTTAAGGCAAAAATCTCAACATCTGAGTACTAGGCCTCATAATATGCCAGAACTCCTTGTCTTTCAGGGTGACATGATTTGCTGTGAGCTGGGTGTGAATATGAGAAACACAATCTCATGTGTTTCCAGGATCATTTGATGACACTCTACAGCTTTGAAAGGCTTTGTACAGCCTTCATGAGAATTGCAAACCACTGTGAGGCCTACATGGTTGTACAGATTCATGATCTTACACATTACCCAAAAGAAAGATATAATAGTTAACATATCCTCTGTAGGCTGGGTTCAGAAATAATATCCATGATTTTCTTGAGAGCTGGATCCAGAAATAAGTCACCATCCCATTTGTGGCCAGATCAACATATGAAGATCACAATTCCAACTTTGTACTCTATTCACTTTTAGACTCAGAAACTTAATAGTGGGCTTTGTACATGTGGGATGGTGACAACATTGCTTTCACCTGGGTATCTAATGGAGAGTCCAAATCTAAATTTTTGCTCATCTCTTTTATAAAACTCTCTGTACAACACAATAAATGTAGTCATCATGAGTTAATTTCTGTAAAGTTTTTGAATTTGATAGAAATATAAAACCCAGGACCTCATCTATTGCCCTAAGCCTAGTAATGAAATGTAAAATATATCCTATTGGCCGAATCACAGGATAGGTTTGTCCATCATGCCTGTGAACTGAAGTAAGGTATATGATATATTTACATTTGTGGGCAAAAAAAAACTAGGCAGGAAGGTAACATCACTTACATGCTGTGACAAGCATCATGTCATAATGTCCTCTGTAAGAATGGTATATGAATTAGAGTCACATTAACTGGGTGTTGGATCCTGCAATATGACAAAATCCCATATGTGGAAACAAACCAACCTAGAAGTGAGAACAAAAATGCCAACAGAATGGGCCCAGGATATGTCAAAATATGTTCTGTGGCTTTGGGACAGGCATGAAAGTCACATTATTAGGGTGCTGGGCCCAGCAATATGCCACAACTCCCCATATATGTAGGACCCAGGCAAAAGAGTAACATTATCTGTGTGCTGGCCCCTGCAATAGTCAAAATTTTTGTTTTTCTATTAACATGAGTGTTGTGTTCAGCAATATGTCACAATCCTCTCATTGTAAAGACCAGGCAGGAGAAGAGATTCATTTCACTTAGGTCATGGTCTCAGAGATATATCCCACTGTTCTCTCCATGCAGGGATCAGGTAGAAAGAAGAGTCATATCACCTATGTGTTTCTCTAGTTAAATGTCACAATCTGACATGCAGGCAGAAACCAGGGAGAAGAGCCACATCACCTGGGTACAGCCTCAAGTAATATGTCACCATGCCCAATGTAGACATGTTCAAAAAAAGAAAATCACACCACAAGAATTCTGGGCTCAATAATATGTAATAATTCCCTCTTTATACAGAGTCCATGACAAAGATTAGAGCCATATCACCTAGAATTTGTGCTCAGTGGTATGTCACAATTTCTTCAATGAACAGGATCCACGCAGGAGAGGAGAGTCATATTACCTAGATACCATATCTAGCAATATGTCACAGAGTCCCCTGTGAGCAGGGCACTGGCAGGAGAGAAATGTCACCTAGCCAATAGGCCCAGAGATATGTGAAAATAACTGTTGTTTGCAGGGCCAAGACAGAAGAGTCACATTATCATCGTTCTGATCCAGTGATAGGTAACACTGCCCTCATGGAAAGGAATTTAAACCAAAAAGTCTCAATACCAGTATACTTGGCCAAGGGATATGACATAATCTCATCTTTAAATGTGGCAGCATTTTAGCTGTTATCTAGTTATATATATGACAGTCACAAACTCCTGAGTGTCCTTGCCATTGTATGATACTCTCTACAACATCTGAAAACTTTATACAACACGCATGAGTGTTGCAAAACTTGCTGAGTCCTACACACTTATATGGACTCATAATCTTCCATATTGCCATAAACCGAGGTATGTCAGGCAACATGTCTTCTATCGGCTGGCATCAGAGTTGAGACCATTATTAGGGCTGTGAGCTGGGTACAGAAATGGGATTCACCATCTCACCTGTAGTCAGATTCACTTATGAGAGTCACAATTTGAACTTTGGGTTGTATTGACTTGTTTGATTCAGGACCTCAACAATAAGCTTTGTAAATGTAGGATGTGAGCTAATGTTGTAAAATTCTGTGATCTTTGAACAAATGTGTAATGGAGGACCTTAACTATTGACCAAAACCTAGGGGTGAGAGGCAAAATATCTCCTATTGGCTTAATCACACAGCGAACTTGATCATCATGTCTTTGAACTGAAGCAAGGCATATGTCATAATCTCATTTTTGGGGAAAGACTAGGCAGAAGGTTAACATCATTTAGGTGCTGTGCCAAGCAACTTATCCCAATGTCTTCTCCAGGCAGGGCCTAAGAAACGGAGTAACATTAACTGGGGGCTGGAACCCTCAATATGACACAAAACCATGTGGAAGAAACCCAGCAAACTGATCAGTGGCAAAATACATATAGAATGAGCCAAAGATGTGTCAAAATACTATCTGTGGCCCTGGCACAGAGAGAAGAGTCTCATCCTTAGGGTGCTGGGCCAAGCAATATGCCACAATTCCCTCTTTATGCATGACCTAGGCAGAAGAGTAACATTATCTGGGTGTAGGGTCCCGAAATACAGCAAAATTCCTGTTCATGGGCACTCTTTAGCAACAAGACAAGAGTCACACAACCTGAGTACTGGGCTTCTCAATATCTCACAGATCTCCGATTGTAAAAGCCCAGACAGAAGTGAGTCAAATTACTTAGACTGTGGGTTCAAAGAGAGGACCCAATGTCTTTAGTAGGCAGGGCTAAGGCAAAAAAAGTGAATCATATCACCTAGGTGTTTTCTTTAAGTATACGTCACAATTTAATGTGTGGGAAGAAACCAGGCTGAAGTGCCACATCACGTGGTCCTGGTTCCCAAGATATTCACAAATCCCCCTTAGAAAAGGACCCAGGCAAGAGAGTTACATCACCTAGGAGCAGGTTCCTCCCTGATGTTACAATGCTCCATGTGGGCAGCCCATGAAGGAATTCACATCATCTAGGTGATAGGCCTAGAGATATGTCACATAACCTTCCTGAAAGCATGGCCCTGGCAAAAGAGTACCATAACCTTTGTGCCTCGTCTAGCAATATGTCACTATACAAGTGGGCAGGTTTCAAACAAAAAAGCCATATCATCTATATAATAGGCCCTGTAATATGTCATAATATTGTCTTTTATGCATGGTCGTGGAAAAAAAATCATCATTACCTGTGTGCCTTGCCTATGAATATGTCACTCTCCTGCCCTGTGTGTAGGGCCCATTCCAGAGAGGAAAGTTACATCACCTCAGTGGTGGACACATAATATGTCACAAGGTTGTCTAGGGGCAGGGAGCAGGCAAGAATGTAATGTCACCTAAGCACTGAATCCAATGATGTCACAATCCTTAATGAGATCAGGGCCCAGGCAGAAGTGTCACAAAACTTCAGTGTTGGCCCAGGTAAATATCAAAATCCTTTATGTAGGCTGGAACTAGTCTGAAGAGTGAAATCACAAAAGTGCATGGAAAAGCTTTATATCACAGTCACGATAAAATAAAATTCTAGGGATTATTTTAAAATACCACATGTGTCTTGTTTTCATGTAGAACAGTAGCCTTTATCTTCTGTGATGGTAAAAATCTTTACAGTTAGCTAAGTGTTCATAAGAGACTCACAATTTACTCTTTATGAGAGGCCTTGTTATGACACTCTCCATAACTTAATGCCTTTATAACTTAATGGTGTTATAAAATGTGTAAGTGTTGTAATCTTCTGTGACTTTGTTAATAGTAGGAGATGCTTGACATCACTCATGTCTCTAAACCTAGTTGTAAGAGTCAAAATTTTTCCTATTGACTGTGTCCACATATGAGAGTCATTGTCATGCCTGTTAGCTGTGTCCAGGTATATGTCACCATGCCCTCAGTGGTTATTAAACAGGGAGGACACAGCATTACCTAAATCCTAAGCCAGAAATATTCCAATGTACTCTTTGTAGGCAAGACTCTAACAGAGAAGTCACAGAATTTAGGTGCTATGCCCAGCTATATGGCATAATATCCCTTGTGGAGAGTGTCCAGGCAGGAGAAGAGAGTCATATCACCTACATGATGGATCCAGAGATATATCACAATGCCTCCTGTTGTAATGACCCCAGAAAAGAGTCATATCATTTGGATGTAATGCTTAGAAATGCTACACTTTTCACTTTAAGCAGGGTTCAGTCAGGAGAGGAAAGTCACATAAGCTAGATGATATGTCCAGAGATATGTTATCATCCCTTCGGAGGGCATTGTTAAGACAAAAGTCAAATCACCAAAGTTTTGGCCCAGTTATATGTAAAAATGTCTTATCTAGGCTATAAATAGGCAGGATTGTTAAATCATTCAGTAGCTGGGCAAAAGTAAATGTCATAATAACACTTGTGGAAAGGTTCAGGGTTGAGAGTCACAATACTGTACATGTTGTGGTTCCTGGTACAAGAGTCATTATTATGCCTTTTATCTCGCTCACATATATGGCAGAGTATCACCTGTGGGGAGGGAGAGGAAACAAAAGGAGAGTTACACCACTTAAGTGGGTGCATGTCCAGTGAAATGTCACAATTCTCCTTGTAGGTTGGATTCTTGGAGAAGATTCAGTCAACTGGATGCTGGTTTCAGTGACATATCTAAATCCTCCCTGTTGGCAAGGCTTAGGCAGGAGAGGAGAGAAACTGCATATAGACACCTTGCCTTTATAAGTGTCAAAATGGCCCTTGTGTGTAGGATCAAGTCAGGAGAGTGACCTTACCTTGGTGCTGGGTTCAGCAATATGTCAAAGTCTCTCTGTTTGTCAGAGCCAAGGCAAGAGAGGAAACATCACCTAGGGCCTGAGCCATTTAATATGTTACAAAGCTTTTTATTGGCAGAACTCCCCTCAGAAAAGTTTCACATCACCTGAGTGCAGTACCCAGTTGTATGTCACAATACACCATAAGTGTAGGGCCAAGGCAGTACAAGAAACTCACATCATTTACATGATGGACCTAGATAAAAGCCACAATGCTCTTTATAGCTAGGGTTTAGGCCAAGAGTTCACATCAGCTCACTGCTGGTACCAGTGATACATAAAATGCCCCTAGTTGCATTGCCAAAAAGTTGTTATACATTGCTTAAGTGCTGGTGCACATATGTCAGAATTTCTAGGTTTTCAGCCTAGAAAGATTACTCAAAATACTCAGATGCTGGACAAAGTCAAACTTCACAATCACACATTTGAAAATGTTCAGAAATAAATTTTACAGTCCCACACAACTGCTGGCTTTGGGTATGACAGTCAACACCTCCTATGAGTTGGGTCAAAGTAAAGGAGTCATAATCTCAACAATGGGCAAGATGCATGTGTAAAAGCCCCAACCACATTGAAGGTTGTGTTCCAGTAGGTTAGTCATGCACCACAGGTCTGGAGAATCATGGTTTAAATGTCACCAAACCATCTGTGGATAAGACTCATGTACGACAGTAACAATGTCAAGCTTTGTCTCCTTATGTGTGTGAGATTTTGTAACTCATTTGTAGGCTCTGTTCATGTGTGAAAATTACAGCTGTGTCAGCTGAATGTGCATAATACCTAGTTGGTGGTGCCTGTTATGACACTCTTTGTACCATGCAGATGTTATATGATACACCTGCATAGGATACTCTTGTCTGAATTTTATTGGGGGAGATCTAGGACTTCACCCATGGCCATAAACTGGCTATGAGAGTCAAAATATCTCCCTTGGCTGGGTCCATGCATGAGAGTTATTATTGTGCATATCAGTTGAATCCAGGTATATGTTAGAATTTCATCTTTGGACTGAGACAGTATAGAAATGTCACATCATCTGGTGTCCTGAGTCAGAAATATATTAATCTTATTTTTAGGCAGCATCCAATCAGAAGAGTCATGTCACCTGGGTACAGTCTCAAATAATATATCATCTTGACCACTGTATACAGGTTGAAAAAATAGAGGATAGTCACAGTCCCTAGGTGCTGGGCTCAGCAATATATTATAATTCCTTCTCATGGCAGATTCCATCACAAAGAGAAGAGTCATACCACCTAGGTTTTGCATTCAGTGGTATGTCACAATTTCTTAGGTAGGTGAGATCCAGGCAGGAGAGGAGAGTCACATTACCTAGATGCTGTATCCAGCATAAGCTCAGTGTCCCCTGTGAGAGCGCACTGTGAGAGGAGAGACATATAACCTAGCTGATAGGCCAAGAGATATGTGACAATATCCCCTTCTGGCTGGATCCATGCAGAAGAGTCACCTTTTTATGATTCTAACCCAGCAATATTTCACAATGCACCCACGGGAAAGAATTTAAGCCAAGAATCTCAACACTGGGGTGCTAGACTTTGTGATATAACACAATCACTTCATCTTTTAGTTGACACCTTTAACTGTTAGCTTGGTATGTATATAAGAGTCACAATCTCTTGTGTGTTCTAGGTCATCCTATGAGACTCTCTACAACATCTGAAGGATTTATCCAAAATACCTTAGAGTTGCAAGCCACTCTGAAGCCTACATACTTGTTTGACTCAAAACATACATATTGATATAAACCTTGTTATGATAATCGACAGATCTCTTATAGGCTGGTTTCAGACAGAAAACGCATTATGGTGCCTATAATCTGGGTCCAGAAATGAGTCACCATCTCATCTGTAGCAAGATCCACATATGAAAGTCACAGTTCCATCTTTGTATTTTATTTACTTCTTAGAGTCAGAATTTCAACAGCGGGCTTTGTGAATATGGGATGCTAAAAACTTTTTCTCTCACCTGCATTTGTAATCAAGGGTCACGATTTTAATCTTTTGCTGGGCCCTGTTATAAAACACTGTGTACCACCCAAGTTTATAGAATATGAGTTAGTGTTGTAAACTTCTGTGAGCTTTGTACAAATATGAAACTCATAAACATAACTAGTGCCCTAAGCATAGTGATGAGAGGCAAAAATCTACTATTTGTGGAATGCCAATTATGTTTGATCATTATGTCACTGAGTTGAAGCAATGTAAATATCATGATCTCATTTTTAGAAAAAAACTTGTTGGAAGGGTAGCACAACTTATTTGCTGTGGCAAGCAATATGTCACCAAACCCTCTCTAGGCAGGGTCTAGAAAGGAGGATTACATTACCTGGGTGCTGGAGTGCTAGACCCAGCAATATGACACAATCCCAAATGGGGAAAAACAAGCCCAAACAAATGAAGAGACCAAAAACGCCCACATATTGGGCCCAAGATATATAAAAATACTTTCAGTTGCTCTGGTACAAGCAGGAGAATTACACCATGAGTGTGAGGGGCCAAGCAATATGCCATAATTGTCTCTTTCTGCAAGACCCAGGCAGAAATGGGACATCATCTGGGTGCTGTACCCTGCAATACATCAAAATTTATTTTCATTGGCATGGTTTTGGGAAAAAAAAAAGAAGAGTCACTTTATCTAGGTATTGGACATAGCAAAACATCACACCACATCATTGTAAGGGATCAGGTTGAATAAAAGATACACATGACATATGACACAGGCTTAGATATATGACCCAATGTCCCAAGTAGGCAGGGCTCAGTCAGAAGAGAAGAGTAATATCACCTAGGTGCTTCCCTGGGTATATAACACAATCTAATATGTGAGGTGAATTCAAGCAGAAGAGTCACATCACTTTTATACTGGGTCCTGAGATATATCACAATGCTCCCTTAGGACAGGACACATTTAGGAGAGTTACAACAAATAGTTACAGGTTTCAGGTTTCACATTTATGTTGCAATGCTCCATGTGGGCAGGACTCAAGCAGTGAATTATATCACGTAGACCCAGGCCAAGAGATTTGTCACAATGCCCTCTTTAGAAGTTCCTATCAAAGGAGTTCCAACACCTCTGTGGCTAGCACTCATACATCACTACACCACACTCTGTGCAGAGCCCAATCTAATGAGGAGAGTCATATCACCTGAGTGGCTGACAGAGTGATATGTCACAATAATTTCTGTGGGCATGGCTTAGGAAAAAAAGTAACATGATCTAGGTGCTGGATGTAATGATTTGTCATGATTCTTACTGGGAGAAAGGCCCAGGCAGGAGAGTCATACCACCTGAGGTTGGCCCAGGTGGGTACCACAATAACACATGTGGGCTGAAACCAGTGTAGGGATTCAAATCACACAGGTGCTTCACAAAAATTTAAATTACAAACACACTGGCAGAACATTCCCAGGGTAAGATTTACAATAACACACATTACTTGTTTTGATAAGTGACAGTCATCTTCATATATTTGTGAAAATGACATTCCTTACTGTCATCTGACTCTGCATATGAGACTCACAATTTCACCTTTCTGCTGGGTTCTGTCATAAAACTCTCTGTATAAGCAGAGGACATTATAAAATATCAGACTCTATTATAATCTTCTTTGAACTTTTTTATTACCAGAAAGAGACTGAATCACTCTTGTTTCAAAAGCAAGTTAAGAAAGTCAAAATTTCTTCTATTTGTGAGGTCTACATATGACAGTTATTATCATGCCTGTGAGATGCTTGTAAGTTGAGCATTGAAATATAAGCTCAACAAGGTACTCTTAAGGCATTAATCTGTTCCTTACCAAAATTCATAAAGAATTATAAAATGTTATTGCTTTTTACATTTCTAAGTCATCATTTTAGTTAAATATGTAATTTATGATAACCTGGAATTGTATTTCTTTACACAAGGGGTGTTTTAAACCCCTAACATGTAACATCCTTCTCAAAATCAAGCTTTAGCTACAAAATTATCTTTCTTAATTTCTGGCTTTTGGATGCTACAGAGGGCCCATGGAGTATCCACGAGAGAGTTAAACTGGATTATATGACAGGATTAATTACATAGAATTTCCAAAATGGTGTTCAATATTCTTTAGATGATGTTTTGATGACTAATACTAACACATGTTCCAAAATTATGTGGTATTTCTAATATCTGAAGTATATGCTATTATCAACAATTAAGGTTGTTACAGTATTTTAAACCATAGAAATAATAGAAATTTTTGTCATGTTTCTGACTGTAACTACCCTGGACATTTTCTTATAAACAGATGATTGTTGTCTTGTTTTAATTTTTTATAAAAGCATTTTCTAATCAGCTGTAGATCTTTGACAGGTGCTCTCACTTGCAGGTTTCTGATAACTTTGGAGTCTGTGACACTGGCATACAGGAAAAACTTACAGGACTCTTAAAGAGCTAAAATATCCATGAATATCAAACAAAAGAAGTGTTAACTGAATGGACTGGACTAATAGAAAACTGAAGTAATCTTTTTGCCTTTTACATGAAACATTACTGATTCTTGTATTGTTTACCAGAGTCAAGGAAACAGCCATTAATATTTGAGTAAGGTGTACTCCTGTGTACACAATTTGAAACATGTTTGTCTTTCTCTGCAGGGTTTTTCCAGAATTTCAAAAATAGTTGTGAGTGTTCTTAACTTATGGCAATATAGGTGTTTGCATCAGAGCAATAATAGTCCAATTTCTTTTCCAACAGAAGAGAACTGGAGAAACTGTTTTTTTACCAAGGCCTTGACTGAAAAAGAAGCTTCCCTGTAAGGAGTCAAGTTCAACTTGCAGAGCCAAGAACACTTCGGTGGCAAAATTGGCTTCACACCTCATCTAAACAGTCCTTTAGCAGGGTTCCTTATGTGTGGTAAGTAAAGAATGACATTACTGAGAGGCCCAACAGCTCCAACTTTATGTTGGGACCATAAGGAGAGAATCACCCAACTGAAAAGTATTTGATGGTACAAACCCATGGCTGGGGTTGACTTTAGAAAGTCCTGTCTGAAATTTCTTGTGGAACAGAGGTCCATCAAAGCCAATATAAAAGACTTATACAGAAATATTTATTCTTGCTGCACTTTATGAAAATAATAAGGTCAAGTATAAGAGTAAAGTTTGTCTTACAAACAACTCAGTCCTATCTTGATTTGTTTTTTTTAACAGAAAAGAGGATTGGATAAAGATAATATTTCGCAATTTATTATAGATTTGTCATTATATTTTAAACGCATTGGTTTTGAATTTTTGCCTACATTTTAGAACAATCCTGCTTATTTCTGTGACTCAACTAGTGATCTTCAACTGCAGCCCCCCCGCCCCCCACACACACACAAAAGGAGTTGGTAATGTAAACATCTGGATTAACATTCTAGTTCTGGACAATTTTCCTGCAAATTCTGCAGAGTGATGGGAATAAATAAAGTGCCCACCCAAATTTTATAACTACAACGGTAGCCACTAGTTTCCTCAATGTGTCAGTCATTCTTTTCTCTTCCTTATGGAAGAAGAACTCAATTCCACAACTTTATCTTAGCATTCAGCTCGTGATAAAGAGTCCATACAATGCCCTGAGACAAATTTTTCTCCCAACCTCAATTCCAAGCTTCTGGTTGACACTGTAGAAAAAAATAGAAAATTTGAGAAATCCAGAGGCAGGTGATAACAGAGGTAAACAGCATGGTGCAGGTGAGCATAATTAATTTCCACTGATTAAGCCAAGCCTCTGATTTCATGGATAAAGATTATGCTACTATCCATACTATAAATGAGGTCTAGTGAACTCCAGAACTACCAACAGCAGGGGAGATAGGGAACATGTGGTTAAGAGCAGATATTTCCACCCCCCAGGCCTCCCTGTTAACACTATTCAAAGCTGCCTTGACACCCATGGGTGGCAGCCTGTTACAATCACTGGGACTTGGGTATACAAGGATTGAAGTGGGAAAAATAATATTCCTTCTCTTATAGCTCAACATACTCTGGGAATTTGCTAGGAAGAGAAAAGAACCAGGGACACCTGCTCCTCTCTCTCTTTCTAGATAAATAGTCATTCATCTTTAGTCTATACCCATTTTGAATGCATCCTGAACCCTTAGAATGCCTTTGAAAAAATGCTTACTTTTCATTTTTTCTCCTCTGTTTGCTGTTTACAGAGAGGTAATCACGTCTCCATACTTTGGGTTGTTCCACTTCAATGCATCCTCCAAGTTTGGAAGAGTTAATTTCCAAAACATTAAACTGGATGGCTTAGGATTGGACCCAGGAGAAAAGAACCCAGAAGACTGATATGCTGTCCAAAGGGTAAATTTTTGTTTGTTTGTTTGTTTGTTTGTTTTCCCTGTTGGGCTTTTGGCATCCCTCTCCCTATGCAAACTGGTGAAAGACCTTGAATTTTTTGAACTGTCCATTCAACTTTTCCCTTGTTTCATTTAAATACGTGTTTCTTAATTACCCAGTTTGATTCTCTTCACCTTCAGGCTATCAAACTTCAAAGAGTCACACTATCAGAGCAAGAATTCATCTTACAGGTTCTCTCAGAGGCTGGCTTCAGTTTTTTCTTCTTTTAACCCTTTGATGAGAATGCAGTGTCTTGGCTGGTGCTGGTGTATTGGAAATTGTAGATATTGTGCCTGTGCTAAGATACCTCTTATAATCTTTGTTAAAGAGCAGGTTAGCACTTTTAGAAAAACATGTGCTTTTAATATCCAGTTTACAGACTGTATGTCACCTTTATTGCCTGCTTTTGCCAAACCCATGTCTCCCTGGGTTGGCTAGGGGCACACGTTCACTGGAACCCTCAGGTAGCCTGTTGATCCTTCCTCCAATGCAAAGTGTCAGTAAGGTATCACCCAAGTTTCCTCCTAAAATGTGATTTCAGGAGGTCACAGAAGCACATTCTGCTCTAACTTATTGACTAATTAATCAATAATTCACTTAATGTTTCAAAATGGCTGTGAACCTTGACACTCTTGATCTCCTTCCTCTAGTAGGGCTGTATTGGTGGGAGCCATCCTGATTTATTTGTGGAAAAACTAGCAGGTAAGGCAGGGTAGGAATAGGTCAAACCACCTAGGCCGGCATCCCTCAGGGCCCTTTGAGTCCTC
The DNA here is from genome assembly GCF_000001405.40 of Homo sapiens. Classification (NCBI taxonomy): domain Eukaryota; kingdom Metazoa; phylum Chordata; class Mammalia; order Primates; family Hominidae; genus Homo; species Homo sapiens. The sequence goes on from NC_000024.10 coordinate 7,984,039, forward strand.
TGCAGGCAAGCGGGCTCAGTGGAGTTCCAGGAACTTTATCTACTTTGGTGCCCAGAGACCCTAGCTGGACCCCCAAGACAGGACTACTCCTTCAGCAACCTGCACCTACTGGTATCTAGGAGGCGAGCATCCATTTATCTTTGTGAATGTGGCCTTCTGCTTCATTTCCATTGGTTGTTCTCTTGGAAGAAGTGCCTAGGGAATACTGGGCCTGTGTTGGAGGTTTTCTAAGTGCAAAAGTCAATAAGAAAGTCTTAAAATATAATTATAGTATTTTCTGCATATTTCTATCTCAGAGTTACTTTTGCTCAAAAATGTGTAAAAACATATATTAAAAAATTTACCCTTCACATTATTTTAATTAAGTCATCATACAAACCTTTATTTTCCTGAAATTTATTTTCATGCCAATCATTGAATTTTTGTTTCCTTCATTGTTTAGATTATTACCTGTTTTAGAGGCAAAATTTAAATAAAATAATATGCTACACAAATACTAACAGATGACACCAATTTATTTAAAATGTAATAGGATTTCTTAAATGAGTAAGTAATTTCAGTAAACTTAGTTTATGTTACTTGCATAAATTATTTTACATCTTATTCTTAATATTAAGAAAAGATATTTAGGCATGCAATGCACTTGACAAATTTTTAAATTAGGCAACTTAAAACATTGTATTGGACATGATAAGTAATACTATTCTCAAATATTTTATTTTAGATGTTAACATACCTGACAATTGATATTCATATTATCTATGAAAGTGACATTATGAACATACTTATATAGTTGCCAAAATTTAGAAGAAAAAATCTATTCTGGTCTTCAGTAGTAATATTTAAAGTTTACAAAAATGAGATTAAATTTACTGCCTGCATTACCCACCAAAACTCAAACAGATTCATTTACTTGTTCTTTATCTTTCAGTATCTGAAAAAATATTACCAACATTACTGGGTTTTACTACTGGCAGAAGCCGGGTTTTCATGGAGCCTGATGCAACATAACCACTCTTTATGTATCAGTAAACTGCCCAAAATCTACCCAGAACTGAAGACACATTGAAACCTCCCCACCTCCCGGTTTCAAGTGATTCTCCTGCCTCAGCCTCCCGAGTAGCTTGGATTGCAGGCGCCCACCACTACACCCAAATATTTTTTTTGTTGTTGTATTTTTAGTAGAGATCGGGTTTCAGTATATTGGCCTAGCTGATCTCGAACCCCTGGTATCTGGTGATCCACCTGCCTCAGCCTCCCAAATTGCTGAGATTTCAGATGTGAGCCACCACACCCAAACCAAAGAATGCTTTATGAAATTTTCTGAAGAGAAAATTAAATGTTATATCCACAGTTGACAACAAACGGACAAACAAAAAATGTAGAATTAGCCCAAGATTATTCTAAGCAAAGCACAATAAGATTTTAAATAAATGAGTTTAATAGAAAGCTGAGGAAATAGAATTGCTTTCAAAATCTGTGAAGTTTTTTTATTTTGTGGTAAGTTATCGACACTTGTAAAATTATCTGTTTCATTCTAATATTTTTGTTTTCTTCTCAAAGTAGGTACAGAGCCAAAAATAACTATGATTACTTGCTATAGATCTGTTACACACCCAAAGTTTATTTTACAGTAATATATATTTTACTTTTAAATTCACGTAAATGAAAACTAAAGGTCTTTATGTGTTTAGCAGACCAGAGATGTCACATGTTTAACAGAAAAAAGTAGAATAAAATTTTGTAAACTGTTGTTGAGAATTCAGAAGAAAGTAGCACCATTATACTGATATAATTTCCATTAGAACCATCATAATAACCTTTAGTTACAAGAAAAACATAAATTTAAGTTGTAGAAACCATATTTTCCAAATTATTTTAAGTTAAGGACCACTGACAAAAGAATCACTAGAGATGTTATTTCACTGTCACCCAATAGTATATTGTTACCATGTGTTACCTACAATCTTGAGTAATATAGGATAAGTTAACATCAGTGGCAAGACACACATTTAATGTAAAATAACCTCAACATACACACACACAAAAACTTCTGGTTAATTAGAAAAAATTAAGTCCAAGCATTGTCATTGAAAAGGTATTTTGAAATTCACTGTATTTTAATTACCTTAATTTTCAAATGGTAAAGCAATTTTCCTCTAAAATTCAAATTTTTCTGATACTATGTATAATATTATCCTGATCACTTACCACACTCCCATCATCCTGTCACTATGATACTGTTATAAACCAACCAATAATTGGACTTTTCACTTAGAAATTTCTCATGTGTCTTAGATTTCAGTTTTCTTAATCTTCCATCACAAAATATGTACATTTGTACATCTAATATGGAAGAACCTCTCGTAACTCTGGTGCAGCAATCATTCTCCATGTTTTTTCACATAAATTCTAGAAATGAAGACACAGGAAGATATATAAGAGTTAAATTACATCAATATTTGCTTTTGAAAAAATATTAAATTATTTTAATATAAAAATGTTGTTTCTATTATAGGAAAGTGATCAAGATTGCTGAATAGAAGCAGCTAGCCTGTGTAGTTCTCATAGAAAGAAATGTAAGGTGTGCATAAATACATCACCTTCAACTGAAACTTCCAGGTACTTGCATTGGGAACAATCAAACAACTTAAGTTATGGAGAATGGAATAAAGCAAGAAAGGACAATAGGCCACCTGGGAGCAACATGAAGCCAAGAAAACCTCCACATTCAATGAAGCAGTGGGTATATATATGACCCTGGGAATCCATGATTCTCCCACAGATCTTTGCAGCTGTCAGGTAAGGAGATCTATTCATGTACCTGCTTCATCAAGATCTTCAGTTTAACATACAGAAATAAATGTAGTCTCAAGAGATCAGCTACTGAGGCCCTTGCAGAGATTCAAAAGCCTTAGGTAATTGGGCTTTCCAGGCTTCCCAGAAAAAGTAGTTGCAACTCGAGCAAAGGAGGATGCAACACTTCTGTAATTACCCATAGAAAAGAGGCAGAATCCAGGAGGTTGAGCATTGATGATCTATAGAACTCATGCCCACAGTGCCCCACAGTGTAAGACTTACTGGCTTAGCATTCTGCTCAACCATTGGCAGTAGCACTATACCTCCCTGAAATGGAGAGGAGGACCAGAAAGTCGAGTGGGACACCACCTACCAGAAAGTTGAGTGGGACACCACCTTAGCTGCTTGGGCAACTTAGCCCTTCCAGCCTTCAGATTTTAAAAAGCCCAATCTGACATAGGGCAGAATCTCCTAGCACAGTACAAATGCCCTAAAAAGACATGGTCAGACTCCTTATTAAATCAGGTCCCCAATCTCATTTCTTAACACTGGAAAGCACTTCCTAACCAGTGTGTCCAGTTACCACCATTGGTGCTGTTTGGTCGATGGAATTTTGAAATATCTTCGGGATATATTTCCTAGAGGAAAGAGTGAGCAGCAATTTTTCCTATGTGTATGACTTAGCTCTTCCAGCCCTCTGGCTTTAAAGAATCCAAATAAGCTGGGGATGGAAGTGGTACCTCTGCACATCAGAGATGTACTAAAAAAATGTGGCTAGACTGCCTTCTTATGTGGCTCCCCAATAATGTTCTCCTTACTGAGTAAGAAATTTCGACAAGAGATTCCAGCTACCTCCTACAGGTGCTATTGAGCTGGAAAGCGGTCTATAACTCCCTAGGATAGAGCTCCCAGAAAAAAAAAAAGTGACACACTGAAATTGTTTAGTTTTGCAGCATTCACTGGTGGTAACTTCAAATACTGGAAAATCTGAGGTGACTAGGAATTTCAGTGGACTGCTAGCACACTGAAGCAGCCCTTCAGAAAAGTGGCCAGATTGTTATGAGATTGCCTGTCTTCATATATTCTCACTGGGCAGGTTCTCCCAGCCTGGGCCACTAGCCAATCACTGCCAGAGCTATTGAGACAGTAGCAACTTAGCAATTCCCTGGACAGAGATTATAGCAGCAACTGAAAATATTTCTGCCACTGCCTCTGCAGTAGATGTGTCCTTGCTACACTCAGACTAGTGAAAAATCCAAAACCCTAAGTGCCTTATTCAAACAGCAAACAAGCTGCAGTTTTCCCAAGAAGAGGCCAGTCCATTCACCGTGGGTCCCACAAACTACCCACTGCTCCTCACCATCCCCTAACTTGACTAAAATCACAGATCCTCCATCATGGGCTGACTGCATTGAAGTATTGCTGACCTACATCTCTCTGAGATGCAGCCTCCATAAAACAAGCAAATGAAATAAACCTCCAGAAAACAAACAAAGCAAACAAGGGCAGCAAGCTAGCTCATTTGGTGACCAGAGGGTTTGGTGCAAGAGTATCTGTAGTAAATTGTGGCTAATGATGGCCATTTCTGTAGGATCAAGTTTTTCCCATAAGAGACTTTAGCCCTAGGGAACTGTTGGACCTAATTACTGTACTATAGCCTTGCAAATCAGAAGCTTATCCAACTGAGTACTCCTTGGTTTGCTGTCCCCTCCCAGGCACCCAGTCTGGCACCCAGATCCTTGCAGGGAAGTCTCAGGCACACTGGGAGCCCATACGATACCATCTGCAAGGTGGGTCACACATGATGCTTGAAGAACTCCAGCTAGGCAGCCCACGTGATTGCAATAGCCCACGTGTTTCTTTCCTACACTGCAGCTTCCTATGAAAACATGGCAACTCCTTATATTACTTTGCTGGCACATGTCTTGAAAGCAGATTTGTCTTTGCTTTGCCAACCAGCAAATGGAAATGCAGTATGGTCCTGCCACCCCAGCAACTGCCATTGTATATAAAGCTTTGGTGGGCATAGAATCAAAAAGCCTCACCACTACCTTTGTGCTAACACTTTGTAGAGAAAAGGATATGCTCCCACACTCTGAACAATTACTTCTCCTTTGGGGGGCAAAAATAAGGCTTCAAAACTTCTTTGGCCAGCATCCTGCCATATGCTAACACCACCTTTTGTGCAACAGCCCACACAGTCTCCAGCAGGTACACCTACTCCTATCCCAGCTACTTTGCTCCCACTACTGAGATGAATAACCAAAGACAGGCAGAAACTCCGTACACACTAGCACTCTGCTGAAACTGCAGCAACTTAGTCCCAGAGTGGCAGACTCCAAATATCAAAGAGACAGGGAAGAGAATTGGGTCTCAATACAAATTGCCCTCATTATGCAGACTCTGAGTTGTGAGCTGAGCATTTCCCCCATCCCCACTACACACACACAGATGCATAAAGAAACCTCTCCCAGGAAGAAGGACTGTTGGATGAAAACACCTTATGCCACAATCAAATACTCAAGAATATCAAAAAGAAAAACAAACAAGCAAACAAAAAAAACCCCTCAATCAAAGTTCAACAACCCCAAAGATATGTCCACGAAGATGAGTCAAAATCAATGCAAAAATATTGAAAACAAAAATGCCAGAGTGACTTGTTTCATCCAAATAACCAAATCACGTTTCCAGTATGGCCTAAGATGACAGAAGTAGAATTCACAATGTGGAAAGAAATAAACTTCACTGAGTTACAAAACTAAGTTGCAAACCAATGCAAGGAAGGGAAAAATGCAGAAACTGAGAGATAAAACAGCCAGTCTGGAAGAAAATGTGGCCAACGTGATAGAGCTGGAAAACGCAATTCAAAAACCTTATAATTTATTCAAATATTAACTGCAGAATAAGCCAAGCAGAGGAAAGAATACCTCAGACCTTCAAGACTGGCTGTCTGAAATAATACAGATAAGAATAATGAAAAAAAGAATAAAGAGAAATGAACAAAACCTCTGAGAAAATATTTAATTTTGTAAAGAAATCAAATATATGATTAAAGAGAGTGCCGGAAAGTGATGGGGAGAATGAAAACAACTTGAAATACATATTTTGGTATATTATCCATGAGAACTTCCCCACCTAGATAGCCAGGAAGACATTCAAATGTAAAAAATGTGGAGAACCCCAGTAGGATACCCCATGAGAAGGTGATTTGCAAGACATAATCATGAGATTCTCCAATGTCAAATTGAATGAAAAAAATTATTAAAGGCAGCTAGGGACAAAGGCCAGGTCATCTCTAAAAAAAGAACCCTTCCAACAAACAACAAACATTTCAGATGAAATTCTACAAGTAAAAAGAGATTATGGATCAATCTTTAACATCCTTTAAAAAAGAATTCCAAGAAAGAATTTTATATCAGACCAAAGTAATCTTCAGAAGTAAAAAAATAAATATGATCCTATGTACATAACTAAACACTAAGGAAATCTGTTACCACAAGACATTACTTACAAAATTTTCTGAAGAAATCACTAAATAAGAAAAAGACTGTTGCTGGTCACTACAAAAACACATGAAAATACATAAACTGCTGACACTATACCACATAAACAAATGTGCAAAATAGCCAGCTAAGATTATAGTGACAGAAACAAATCCACACATATGAATACTCTCCTTAAATGTAAATGGACTATATGCCCCAATTAAAAAGTTGATGATAAGCTAAATACAGTTTTAATATCTAATGGTATGCTATAATTGAGAGACTCATATCAAATAAGTTCAAAATAAAGTGAAAGAGGTGAGTCTACCAAGCAAATAGAAAACAGAGAGAAGCATGGTTTGCAATCCTAGATTCTGTCAAAACAGACTTTAAATCAACATAGATTTAAAAAGACAAAGAAGGGCATTACATAATAGTAAAGAGCTACATATCCATCCAACAGAAGAGCTCCCAGATTATAAAGCAAATACTTAGAGACCCTCCAATATGTTAAATTAAATGTTCTTCAACTGTAATCCCCTTTACATTGCATTTGTTCGGTATTGTTTCTGATGTTTAACACAACATGAAGACTTGTTAGTAGGTTTATCACATTTTTAGCACCTGTAGAACTTCTATCTAATATGAATTATTTTAATGTTTAAATGAGGTGTGAAAACAAGCTCAATTCTTTTCCACACTCTTCACATTTTTGGGGGGTTTCTGTTCAGTGTGAATTATCTTATGATTAGTAAGGTCTGAGAATCACTGAAATGTTTTATCACATTCTTCACATTTGTAAGCTCTCTTCCATATGAATACTTTTGTTGTTAATAAGGGTTGAGGAGCAGGTAAAGGCTTTGCCACATCTACACAGATGTAAGGTTTCTCTACAGTATGAATTCTCTTATGTTTACTAAGGGTCAAGAACCACGTAAAACTTTTCAACATTTATCACATTTGTAAGATTTATTTCCAGGATGAATTATCTTATGTTTATTTAGGTCTGAGAACCACTAATAGGGTTTATAACATTCTTCCCATTAGTACAGCTTCTCTCCAGTATGAATTATCTTATGTTTAGCAAGTTCTGAGAAGCATCTAAAGGCATTGCTACATTCTTTGCATTTGTCAAGTCTTTCTACAGTGCAATTTCTCTTGAGTTTAATATGGGTTGAGGAACAGGTAAACTTTTTGCCACATTCTTTCCACTTGTAGTATTTCTCTCCAGTATGAACTTTCTTATTTTCAGTAAGGTTTGAGAAATTTTTATTGCATTTGCCACTTTACTTTACATTTGTAACATCTCTTTGTAGTATGAACTTTCTTCGTATAGTAAAAACTGCAAACATCCTACTGTCTTTGCAACATTTTTCACATTTGTAGCATTTCTCTCTGCCAAAAATTTTCTAATATTAAGTGAATATTGATCAGAACCCTAAAGCTTTACCATATGTATTACATTGACAGGGTTTGCTATGGGTAGTTGACAAACCTTGATGAAGCCCATTGTAATTGCATTTCTGCCATATTGGGGGAAATTCAGCCAGATATTGGGTGAAATTCATGCCAAATATTTCACGTAGGTTATTTTCTATATTTGCTAAGTGTTGGCCAGTCTGAGAAATAAAGGGACAGAGTACAAAAGAGAGAAATGTAAAGAAGCGTGTCCAGGGGAGACATCACATGTCAGCAGGTTCTGTGATGTCCCCTGAGCCATAAAACCAGCAAGTTTTTATTACTGATTTTCAAAAGGGGAGAGAGTGTATGACTAGGGTGTTGGTCACAGAGATCATGTGCTTCACAACATAATGGAGTATCACAAGACAAATGGAGGCAGGGTGATATCACAGGACCACAGGACCAGGGCAAAATTAAAATTGCTAAAGAAGTTTCAGGCATGCATTGTCATTGATAATATCTTATCGGAGACAGGGTTTGAGAGCAGACAACCGGTCTGAACAAAAATTTATTAGGTGGAATTTCCTCATCCTAATAAGCCTGGGAGTGCTATGGGAGAATAGGGCTTAGTTCATCTCTACAGCTCGACCATAAAAGACAGCCGCCCCCTGAAGTGGTCATTTTAGAGGCCTACATTCAAGGATGCTTTCTCTTTTTCAGGGATGTTCCTTGCTGAGAGAAATAATTCAGCGATATTTCTTCCATTTGCTTTTGAAAGAAGAGAAATATGTCTCTGTTCTGCCCAGCTCACTGGCGGTCAGAGTTTGAGGTTATCTCTCTTGTTGCCTGAACATTGCTATTATCCTGTTCTTTTTTCAAGTTGTCTAGATTTCATATTATTCAAACACATTTGCTCTACAAACAATTTGTGCAGTTAATGCAATCATCACAGGGTCCTGAAGTGACATACATCCTCCTCAGCTTACAGAGATGATGAGATTAAGTGATTAAAGACAGGCACAGGAAATCACAAGGGTATTGATTGGGGAAGTGATAAGTGTCCATGAAATCTTCATAATTTCTGTTCAGAGATTGCAGTAAAGACAGGCATAAGAAATTACAAAAGTATTATTTTGGGGAACTAATAAATGTCCACAAAATCTTCACAATTTATGTTCTTCTGCCATGGTTTCAGCTGGTCCCTCCATTCAGGGTTCCTGACTTCCCACAACATCTCTCCCTTTCTTTTTATATAAATTTACCATGGTGATGAAGACTTGTTTGTTCTTTCAATTTTGATGCAGGATTCTTTGACGGGTCCAGCACTCTAAAAACAAGCCAATTTAACAGACAAACATAATTCCAAAATTTGCTACAGTGGAGCCCCCAGTACACTTAATCCAAGTCATGAGGTTTAGTCCATAAAGATTTTCTGCCAGCTGATCTAATGCCTCAGCTCCAGGCACAATGTATAAGGTAGCTTGAGAGCCTTCAAAAATTTGTTTCTCTAATTTAGTTATGTCCAATGTTAAATTATCTCCCCTTAACAGAAGGTGTCCTTTGAATAATTCCCATGAATGATCAGTGTCTTTATGGGAATACGGGGTTATACAGAAATCCGAAGTATTCCAATCACACTGCATTTGCATGTGATGTTCAAGACTCACCACCCAATCTCCAAACCAAATAACAGACTGTCTTAAATCATTAATTTGATTTGCCAATTTTTGATTGATGCCTTGTTGAGAATTCCACATTTGGGTGGAATTGTCTTGCCAATCATTAACAAAATGAGCAGTTTGAATGGATTGGTGTAATGCCATTACAGCAGTGGTGGTCATTGCAGTGACTGTAATTAGGCCTGTGATATCCATCATTAAAGTGACAACAAATCTCTTAGATCTTTTTTAGAATTCGCTGTAGCACTTCATTAATTAAGGGTATTGAGGGGGAAGATTCCCAAGGTCTGGGAAAAGTTACCAAAATCCAGATTCCTTCTCAAGTTTGAATAAACATTACACTTTTCCTGGAGTCAAAATGGGAGTTAATACAAGTGTGTAAATAACAATTAATGCATTGGACAGTTTGATTGTTCATCCAAATTTTGATGTTTCCCACTAACAGCACGTAAGGAGGCTTAACACAACTCTGTATGGGAACAGTCAAGTTGGAGGTAAGTAAAGCAGAATGTCTGGATCTACATTGATACTGAGAGAGTGGGATGGTAGTGGGGACAAAAGACAGAATAGTTTTCCCTTACTCGCAGTCCAGACATGGCAATAGCCAATTTCCAAAGTTCTGGGTGTTCTGGGCTCAGAATGGGGAGTATCATAGGAGGCCTGGCTTGGGGGAGGTGATAATGCCTATATCTTCCCATTTTAAGGGAAAGAATGAGCTGAACCTCCTATGCAAAGTAGAATGATGATTCTCGTTCTCCCCTTAAGAAATAAATAATGCCTCCAGGCATTCCCTTCCACCAGAGGAGCAATTGTTTTGTAAATAGCCCTTTGATGCCCAGTCTATTACAAAACTATATGAGTCATTTTTCAATATTACTGCATGTGATTTAACACAATCTTCCCAAATTAAAGTTTTAGATGGGCCCTCAAAATTTTTAGAGCATGGTTTTCCTGCAGGTTTATATTGAAAATATGGGGTATTTCCCATTACTCCCCCTTTCATTTATTTTAAAGGAGAAATGGAGAGGCTGGAGATGAAATGTCCCAGTTTCTCTGTAGCTGATCTTTCCAGAAGATAAGCAGCCCAGACTTGAGTTTCTAGACAGGTACAACCAGGTGCTTGTCTGAGGCACAGAGTGGGGTATTTGTAACCTATGGTAACATTAAATTCATTGCCTTCTCCTGGCTGAGCAGGACAATGGTCACCTGTAGCTCCAGGCATCCACACACTATTGTTAGTGTAGATTTCTGCAGGAGCATCAATCCAAGTGAGAGGCCGAATCCAGGAAGAAAAGGCACATAAGCCCAGTAAGAATAATTATGTGTAGCAGGTAAATCAGTGTGAGAAGAAACTGGTGAGACAGAAAGTATAAGGAGGAGAATCATTAAATAAAACTTATTGTAAGTGAGATCGAATGTTGAAGGAGGAAGAGAACAGAGGGATGTTATTTTCAGGCTAATAGAAATGGTGAGATTTTTAGGTTTGTAAGGAGAAAAAGAAAGGTAATCAGAAGTAGGATTAGTTAGATGGTTATCCATCGCCCTCAGGGAGGAATGAATCAGACCCACTGTGATTTTGTGTTCCTGCTTCTGAGGAGTTGGCACAGATCTCACCACTTCTGAGGGCAGTCTCTGACACAGACATCTTTTCTCTGTGGTTTTTGTTTCATGATCTCCTGGTGAAACACAAGCATATCCTCTTTCCCATGTTAAGTAGAATTGGAGACAATATTTAAAGGTTTGGGAAAATCCTGTAAGGTAGTAATGACAACAATTAACTCTGCCTTTTGAACAGAGGTATAAGAGGTAGAAATAAGTTTGTCTGTAGGTCTTAAATAATTAACGTTACCCCAGTTTTTGGAAGTCATTTAAAGTTTTGAAAGAATCTCTACTAATTTGAAGTTTTTGAGGTTGAATACTTTGTTTACCGACCACCATTCCTAAATATTGAACAGGAGTGGTCTCTTGAATTTTATCCTGAGTGATGTGTAATCCAGCTCCTGCAACACAGTGGCTGAAAATTTGATAACAGTCAATTATTTGTTTATCAGTGGGGGCAGCAATTAAAGTATCATCCATACAATGAAGAATATAGGCCTTGGGAAATTGGGCTCAAACTGGTGAAAGCACTTGTCCAACATAAAGCTGGCAGATTTTAGGGCTATTCAGCATTCCCTGAGGAAGTACTTTCCATTAATAATGAGTTGCAGGCTCTTGATTATTGATAGATGTTACAGTAAAAGCAAATTTTTCACAATCCGATTTATGTAAAGCAATATGAAATAAACAATCTTTAAGATGAATAACTATGAGAGGCCAATTTTTAGGTATTAAAGCTGGGGCAGGCATGCTGGGTTGGATGGCCCCCATAGGTTTAATTACAGCATTAATGGCCCTTAAATCTGTTACCATTCACCATTTGCCTGATTTCTTTTTTACTAGAAACAGGAGAATTCCAGGGGGAAAGACAAGGTTCCACATTCCTAAGTTGTAACTGTTCGGAAACCAATTGAGTTAAAGCCTCCAGTTTTTCTTTAGAAAATGGTCACTGCTGAATCTAGATGTGTGTGTCAGATTTCCACTGTAAAGGGATAGGATCAGGAGGCGTGGCAGCAGCCACCACTAAAAAGGATAACCTAAACCAGCCCTGTTTTCTATTATAGTAACTGGGAGGGGTTTAGTAACCCCTTCATGGTTTGGACTGAGACTGAGTCCAGGAACAAACCCCATGTTCTCCATCATATGCTGACTGGGAGCAATAGAAGAGTTATGTGGAATATTAATTTCAGCCTCAATATTTACTAGGCCCTCAAACTTCATTCCTTGAATGTGTATGGTGCAGGTGGGCCATTGTTTAGAAATTATATTAATCCAATAAGCAGCTTTTCACTGCCAGAGCCCATCCCAGGGCCACCTGTCTTATCTCCTTTGTTAAAAATGATATTAGGTAGTAAAAGTAATTGAGCTTGTTTAACAGTAGTAAAAGAAACAGGAGCTTCACCTGGGGCACGCAACTTATCCTAAGCTCTCGTAAACACCTTTGTTACTTGTTTAGCAGTAAGAGCATCAAAGTTTAATTGGGCATAAGTATCAAAGAAACTATCCGAGCCTGTGAGCTGAGCCTGAGTAGTTAGAATGTCATTGGTCTGATTTAGCTGAGCCTGTAGATGGGCCTCCTCTGCCCACTAGGCTGAGACAGAGTTAGAACAGCTTTTTGCCAAAAGGCCACAGTCTAAAGGAAGCAAAATGACCTAAGTACAAAAAGTTTGAAATACCATTTTAACATAAGGAAAATTAGGACCATATTGAGTACAAGCATCCTTAAACTTTTTAAAAAAGTAAGATTGAGCGGGGCATATTGACACAGGCCAGTTGAGGAACCAAAATAACAGGAGGGTGAGGGGCTACAGTGGATGGGGGAGGGCCTGGAGAATTATAGGTAAATTGTAGTTTGGCCCTGGAGCCATTAGCTTATACTGGAGGTGTGAAGAGAGAAGAATTAGCATATCAATGGTCCTGGGCTGTGTGAATCACATCCGTGGGAGCTTCAAGTATTGGTTCTTTGTGAAAAGAAGTAAGATAAGTAGGGGGTAACATTAAGCCAAAGTTACCAGACTTAGACATTGAATTGTCAGCATGTTGGGGAGGAGTAGCCAAAGGGAGAAGCTGATCAGATAACAAAGGCTGTGTGGGAGAGGAAGGCTGAGGAAATGTCAGAGAAACTGAGGAAAAGGCAGAAAACTGTGGCAACTGCAGGGGATCATGAGATCGGCAAGCCACTAAGATGACATGCACCAAGGCTAAACAACCCCAAACAGTGATAGGAACATAACTTCCTTCTGGGACCAGCTCCCAGAATGCTATACCAACACAATCTCATATTTCTACATATACGGTTCCTTTTTCAGGAAACCAAGGACAGAATTTTTCCACCACCCTGAATAGAGTGACCATATTTTCCATGGTTACTCAGATCCTTCCCTGTTTCAACAGGTCTACGTCTAAGGGTCCTTTTTCAGGAGACCAAGGACAGAATTTTACCACTGCCCTGAATGCAGTGATCATATTTTCCATGGGCACTCGAAACCTTTTCTGTTTCAACCAGAGTTTAATATAGAAGAGATAGGTATAATGTTTATACTCAATGTGACCCACAGTTATCCCAGACCATACACAGACTATTCACCACTCATCAGGGAGTCGAACACGCATATCTGTGGACCAAACTGATGATGTTTCTCTGCACCTAGCAAAAGGAATCGGGTTCCCTCATGTACTTAGGAAAAGAGAAAGAGAACGTGGCCTCCAGATATTGAGTGAAATTCACCCCCAATATTTCATGTAAGTTATTTTCTATATTCCCTAAGAGTTGGCCAGTCTGAGAAATAAAGGGACAGAGTACAAAAGAGATAAATTTTAAAGCTGGGTGTCCAGGGGAGACATCAAATTTTGGCAGGTTCCGTGATGACCCTGAGCCACAAAACCAGCAAGTTTTTATTAGTGATTTTCAAAAGAGATGACAGTGTATGAATAGGGTGTGGGTCACAGAGATCACATGCTTCACAAGGTAATAGAATATCACAAGGCAAATGGAGGCAGGGTGAGATCACAGGACCACAGAACCAGGGTGAAATTAAAGTTGCTAATGAATTTTTGGGCATGCATTGTCATTGATAACATCTTATCAGGAGACAGGGTTTGAGAGCAGACAACTGGTCTGACCAAAAATTTATTCGGTGGGAATTTCCTCATCCTAATAAGCCTGGGAGCACTGTGGGAGACTAGGGCTTATTTCATCCCTACAGCTCAATCATAAAAGACAGCTGCCCCCAAAGTGGCCATTTTAGAGGCCACTTTTTAACATAAGGAAACATAGACTCAGGGATGCATTCCTTTCTCAGGGATGTTTTTTGCTGAGAAAAATAATCCATCAATATTTTTCCCATTTGCTTTTGAAAGAAGAGAAACATGTCCCTGTCCTGCCCGGCTCACTGGTGGTCAGAAGTTAAGATTATCTCTCTTGTTGCCTGAACATTGCTGTTATCCTGTTCTTTTTTCAAGTTGTCCAGATTTCTTATTGTTCAAACACACTTGCTCTGCAAACAATTTGTGCAGTTAACGCAATCATCACAGGTTCCTGAGGCGACATATATCCTCCTCAGCTTACAGTGATGATGGGATTTAAGGGATTAAAGTAAAGACAGGCATAGGAAATCACAAGGGAATTGATTGGGAAAGTGATAAGTGTCCAGGAAATCTTCACAATTTCTCTTCAGAGACTGCAGTAAAGACAGGCATAAGAAATTAAAAAAGTAGTAATTTTGGGGAACTAATAAATGTCCATAAAATCTTCACAATTTATGTTCTTCTGACATGGTTTCAGCTGGTCCCTCCATTTGGGGTTCCTGACTTTCCACAACACTGCCCCTTGTAATTACCAACACATTGGTAGTCTTTCTTTCAATGTAAATTATTAAAGCCACAGGTTCCATATTTTCTTAGAATCACTTTTTAAATGAACCCTTCATGTCTTGATCTGGTAATATCTCTGCAGTAAAATGAAAAGATCAAGATGAAAAAAAACCTCACAAAATTTATCCCTCATTAGACTTAGGTGAATACACTTTACAAATATATAATTAAACAAAACACACTAATGAGGTGACAATAAAATACAACAGACCCTAATTTCTTTATAGACATATAAACTTAACAGGAATACAATGACCAAAATGCCTTTGTGAGAAGTCTAAGAACCAGTTAAGCATTGCAGCTCCCCAAGTGAGCAAAATGAGAACAACCACATTGAAGTGCAATAAAAGTGTTCCTTATTTATGCATGACAGTCATCATCATTCTATGATGACTTTAAATAGAGACTCCCAATTTCAGTCTCCACCCTCCAAAAATAAATAAAATAGTGGCACCTGGTCCATACTTCTGGCTTTTTGAAAACTTACCAAACAATAATTTTTATATTTTATGACAGTGTTGAAAAGAAAGGTGGTATACTTTAACAGTTTGGGACAGCTGAGATCAAAGGTAAGTGACTGTTACAAGAGAAGAAAGACTTCATTGTCACAGAGAGACAATAGATGTAGCAAATGACTACAGGATCCCAATAAGAAATATGGAGAATGCCAGGAGTGGTCACTTATGCCTGCAATATCAGTACTTTGGGAAGCTGAGGCAGGCAAATCACCTGAGGTGAGAAATTCAAGACAAGCCAGATTAACATGGTGAAACATTGTCTCTTTAAAAAATTCAAAAATTTGGCAGCCATCATGGCAGCTGCCTCTAATGTGAGCTGCTCAGGAGGCTGGGGCTGGAGAATCACCTGAACCTGGGTGGTGGAGGTTACTGTGAGTCAAGATTGAGCCATTGCACTGCAGACTGAGCAACAGGAATGAAACTCCAATGAAAGAAAGAAAAGGAAGGAAAGAAAGAAAGAAAGAAAGAAAGAAAGAAAGAAAGAAAGAAAGAAAGAAAGAAAGAAAGAAAGGAGGGTGGGCGTGGTGGCTCATGCTTGTAATGCCAGAACTTTGGGAGGCCGAGGTGGCTGGATCACAAGGTCAGGAAATCGAGACCATCCTGGCTAACAAGGTGAAACCCCATCTCTACCAAAAATACAAAAATTAGCCGGGCGTGGTGGCAGGAACCTCTAGCCCCAGCTACTTGGGAGGCTGAAGCAGGAGAATGGCATGAACCTGGGAGGTGGAGCTTGCAGTGAGCTGAGATTCTGCCACTGCACTCCAGCCTGGGCAACAGAATGAGACTCCATCCAAAAAAAAATTAAAAAAAACACCAACATGGGGAAACTTTTTAAGTTACAAAACACACAAGATCGGAGAAAACATTTATAGAAGAGTCTTAAGAGACTCAGATATCTCTAGTCTAAAATATTGGTATCATATTCGCACAGAAAAAAAGCCACTTAAGATTTTAACATGTGGCTTTTTACTATACAAATTGCCATCTAAGATTACAACATATGGAAAACATCAAGATAATATGGATCAAGCAAAGACAAAAATGAATATACAGAACACAATTATTTAAAAAATGGAGATTTTAAAATTACTTATGACAATTTGAATTCAAGTCTGATCTATTTTCAAAAGAAAAAAATAAATTATCCTAAAATATCAATATTACCATCTCGAGGAGTAAAATGGAAATAAAGAAATCAAAATGGAATAACCAAAAGGAATTCACAAAAAATAAAAATCACAAAAAGTAATAAAAACTGTAGAGTAGAAGTACCAAAAAAACTAACAGGGACTTCAACGTTAGTAAAAAATGTAAGAAAATGAAGAAGCTCAGCAAATGACAACTAAGATTAACACAAAGATATTTCTAACAAGACACAACATAAGCAATGTTTTGAAATTGACAGACAAGAAGAGAATCTGGAATGCAAGAAGATAAAAGAGACATGTTATTTATATGCATGCTTCTGCAAAATTACCCGTAAATTTATGAACATAAATCATTTGGGCAAGAAGGGAGTAGGATGACATAGTTAAAACTCTGAAAAAAAAAAAAAAAAGTCTAAGCAAGAATATTATACCCAGCCAAAGTATCCTTTTTTATCCTTTGGGTAAAAAAGTCTAACTATATCATGATCTATATCAAGATCAAACTATGTCGTGTTTTCAAGAGACTCACTTCAGATCTAATAATAATAAAAATAATGAAAATGGCAGGATGAGAAATACATTCAAAGCAATGTTAACCAAATGAGAGGAAAAGAGGCAACAAGTTATTAAGTTGAAAACTCTCATATTTCATATAATTTACATCAAGGCAATATTTACAAGAGACAAAGTAAGACATTCAATTGTAATAAGAGGGTTCATTCACTAACAGCCTGTAAATATATGAAAGTTTTCTGAAATACATTAAGTAAACATTGACAGAATTGAAACCAAAATGGACAGCAATATAATAATGGAAGTGTAAATCAATATCTCACTTTTAGGAATAAATAAAGCAAGACAGAATATCAATGAGGGAGGAAACAACTTGAATGTAATGTATAATAATTACACCTAACAAATATTTATAGAAAACAGAATACCCATTTTTTTTTCAATAGCTAATAAAACATTTTCCTAGATGGACCATGAGCGACACCACAAAAGAAGAGCTAACATTTTTTTAAATTAAAATTTTACAATTATTTATAGACCAAATGGAATAAAACTAGAAATTCATAACAGAATTTTTTTTTTTTTTGAGATGGAGTATTGCTCTGTTCCTAGGCTGAATCAGCGGCACAAATTCAGCTAACTGCAACCTCCAACTCATGGGTTCAAGCAATTCATCGGCATCACCCTTTCAAGTAGCTGGGAATACAGGCCCACAAACCACCACTTGTCCCGAGTAGCTGACAATACAGTCACACAAACAACCATAAAGTACATTTTTTTTTATTTTAGTAGAGACGGGATTTCACCATGTTGGCCAGGAGGATCTCAAAATCCTGAACTCTCCATGCACCCTCCTTAGCATTCCAAAGTGCTCAGCCTATAGGCATGAGCCACCACACCTGGCCAACAACATATTTTGGGCATGCTCTTTTTAAGGGTTGGAAGACATAATATTTTGATGTGTCCATGCTGCTTAGTGTAACTCAGATATAAAACACACCCCTTTTCAATTTTAAATTTGAGTTTTCAAAAATAGAAAAAAAAACCCCACTAAATTATTTAAGATCTTAAGGGACCGTGAAAAACCTGACAAACTTTAAGAGAAGAAAAATATTAGAAGCATTACACATAACAATTTTCAAACACACACACACAAATCTGCAGTAATCAAAGCACTTTGGTACTGGTATAAAGGTGGAATACCAAAGCAATGAAATAGAATGTAGCACAGGTGTATACTCCTGAATAGAGAGGAGAGACATGCCACCTGTATTTTACATTCAGCCGTTTGTCACATTCCCTTTATGACACAGGCAGGAGAGGAGAGCTACTTTACCTAGATGCTAGTTTCATTGATATTTCAAAATGTTCTCTGGGGGCAGGGTACAGACAGGAAAGAAAAACCACCTACACATCCAGTTTCAATTTTAAATTTGAGTTTTTCAAAAATAGAAAAAAAAAACAAAAAAGTTATGTAAGATATTAAGGGACCATGAAAAGCCTGACAAAAAATATTAGAATCATTACACATAAAAATTTCCAAACACACACACACAAATCTGCAGTAATCAAAGCACTTTGGTACTGGTATAAAGGTAGAATACCAAAGTAATTAAATAGAATGTGGCACAGACATATACTCTTGAATAGAGAGGAGAGACAGCCACATGTCACATTTCCTTTGGGCTTAGGACACAGGCAGGAGAGGAGAGCTACATTACCTAGTTGCTAGTTTCAGTGATATTTCAAAATGTTCTCTGGGAGCTGGGCACAGGAAGGAGAGAAAAACCACCTAGGGAAAGACCCAGATATATGTGATAATATCCTCTGTTTACTGCACCAGGCAGAAGAGGAACATTATTATGATTCTGACCTGGTGATATGTAACAGTGCACCCATGGAAAGCAATTTGAGGCAAAATGTCTCAACACCACTGTACTAGACCCTGTGATATGACACAATCCCATCATCTTTGAGGATGACAGGTTTAACCTTTAGTTGAGAATGTATATTAGAGCCACAATCTCACATGTGTGCTCGACCAATACAGGACACTATCAAAAACATCCAAGGGCTTTATAAAACCTGTATCAGAGTTTCAAACCTCTCTGAGGCCCAGGTGTTCATTGCCCTAAACCCAGTTATGACACTCAACATCTGTTCTATAGGCAGAGTTAAAAGAGGAGACACATCTTATAATTTATTTATTTATTTTGAGATGGGGTCTCACTGTGTCACCCAGGCTGGAGTGCACTGATGCCATCTCTGCTCATTGCAACCTCTACCTCTTGGGTTCAAATGATAATCCTGCCTTAGCTTCCCAGGTAGCTGGTACTAGGGGCATGTGCCACAACACCCAGCTATGTTTTTGTATTTTTACCACAGATGGGATTTCACCATATTAGCCAGGATGATCTTGATCTCCTCAACTCATGATCCACCCACCTCGGCCTCCCAAAGTGCTGGGATTGCAGGTGTGAGCCACAGCGCCTGGCCGGGAACACCCATTATCATGCTTGTGGACTCAGTTCAGAAATGAGTTACCATCCCACCTGTGTCCAGATCCACATAAGGAGGTCCAAATTCCAACTTTGTGATGTATTTCCTCATTAGACTCAGAACTTCTACAGTGGGCTTTGTAAATGTGGGATGGTGACAACTTTAATTTCATCTGGGTTTGTAAACAAGAGTCCCAATCTGAACTTTTTGCTGGGCCCTGTTATAAAACGCTCTACCACCAGAGTTTATACAATGTAAGTTAGTGTTATAAACTTCTGTGAGCTTGGTAAAAATATGCAACCCAGGACTTTACCTATTGCCCTAAGCCTAACACTGAGAGGAAAAATATTTTTTATTGTCTGAATCCCAATGTAAGTTTCATTATCATGGCTGTGAACTGAAGAAAGGTATATGTCATCATCCCATATATGAGCAAAAAATTAGTCAGAAGGGTAATATCACTTAGATGCTATGTCAGGGAATATGTAACAATGCCTTTTCTAGGCATGGTACAAGAAATTGGGTCAAATTAACTGAGTCCTAGACCTGTCAATATGACACCACCCCACATGTGGAAAAAAAACAGCCAAGTTATGAGAGCCAAAACACCTACATAATGGGCTTAAGATATGTCAAAATACTTTCATTCGCTTGAGCTCAGGAAGAAGAGTCACATCATAGAAGTGCTAGGCCCAGCAATACACGGTATGTCATAATTTTCTCTTTATGCAGAAGCAAGGTTGTAGAGTGACATCATCTGTGTTATGGGCCCTGCAATAGGTCAAAATTCATTTCATTGTGGCATAATTCAGGAAAAAAGGGAGAGTCACATATTGTGGGTGCTGGGCTGAGTAATGTGCCAAAATCCCCCTATTGTGAAGTCCCAGGCAGAAAATGAGTCACAGCACTTAAGTCATAGGCTCAGAGATGTGTCATAATGTTCCCAGTATGCAGGGCTCAGGCAAGCAATGAGAGCCATATCACTTACGTACTTCCCTTGGAAGATGTCACAAGCCAACATGTGGTCAGAAATCAGACAGAATAGTCACATCACTTGGCTACTGTATCCTGAGATATGGCACAAGAATCTCTTAAAACAGCACCCAGCAAAGAGTTATTTCACCTAAGTGCAATTTCTCTGCTTATGCCACAATGTTCCATGTGGGTAGGGCCCAAAAAATGGGTCATTTCACCTAGAAGATTGTCCAGAGATATATCACAAGACCCTCTATGTGGCATAGCCCTGAAAAAAGAGTACTACTACCTGTCTGCCTGGCCAAGAAATATTTCAATCTCAAGTTTGGCAGGGCCCAAGCAGGAGAGCTACATACCCTAGGTGATAGGTCCAGAGATATGTCAAAATGCAGTCCTTTGGGCATGGCTCTGGCAAAAGAGTATCCTTGCCTGTGGGTCTGGCTTGGCAATATGTCACTATACTTCCTTTGTGCACGGCCCATTCTGGAGAAAAGAGTTACATCACCTATGAGGTGGACACAGAAATATGTCACAATGATTTGGGTGGGCATGGCACAAGCAAGAATGTAACATTAACTGGGTGCTAGATCCAGTGGTATATTGCAATCCTTACTTGGAGAAAGGCCCAGATAGGAGAGTCGTATCACCTAGAGTTTGGCCTAGGTAGATATCATAGTCCCATAGAACCATTCTGCATAATCAAATTATAAAGGAGTTTCGCAAAAATTTATATCATGATCACATTTTCAGAAAATTCCAAAGGTGAGATTTACAATACCACACATCTTGCTTTTATGTGTGACAGCTGGCTTAATCCATGTGAGATAATGACAGCCCTTACTCACAGCTTTGTGTGTTTACAGGACTCACAAATTCACCTGTGTGTTGAGTCTGTATAATCTAAAGACTTTGTAAAATATGTGTGAGTGTTGTAATCTTTTGTGCCTCTGCAGAAGATTGTGATCCAAGACATCATGCCTGTCCCTAAAGTTAGTTATGAGTCAAAATATTCTCGGCCAGGGGCGGTGGCTCATGCCTGTAATCCCAGCACTTTGGGAGGCCGAGCTGGCAGATCACGAGGTCAGGAGATCGAGACCATCCTGGCTAACACAGTAAAATCCCGTCTCCACTAAAAATACAAAAAATTAGCCAGGACTTGTGGTGGATGCCTTTAGTCCCAGTTACTCGGGAGGCTGAGTCAGGAGAATAGGGTGAACCTGGGATGCGGAGGTTGCAGTGAGCTGAGATCGCACCACAGCACACAAGCCTGGGCAAGAGAGCAATACTCTGTCTCAAAAAAATATATATATATACACACATACATGTATTTTATAATATATTCATACACATAAAATATATATTATAATATATATATTTTATAATATACTATAAATATATAAATATATATTTTATTATATATTATATATATTTATATATTTATATGTTTATATATTATATACATATTATATATATTTATATATAATATGTAAATATATATTATAATATATATTTACATATTATATATAAATATTATATATATTTTTTCTCTATTGGCTGAGTCTACATATGAGATTCATTATCATTCTTGTGAGCCATGCCTAGGTATATGTTACAATACCCTCTGTGGTTATGAAGCAGGCAGAACAGCTACATCACCTAAATTCTGGGCTAGAAATACTTCAATATTCTCTTGGTAGACACGGTGCTATCAGAAATTTTACCTATCTTGTGTGCTAGGTTCAGCTCTGTGCCACAATGTCCTTTGTGGGCAGTGTGGTAGGACGGGAGAGTTATGTAACCTAAATGATTGGCCCAAACATATGTCACAATGCCACCTGTTTGCAGGGCCCAAACAAGAAATTCATATCATTTGGATGCAATGTTTAGAAAAGCTAAAATTACCAAAGGAAGCAGGGTTCAGGCAGGAGAGGAGAGGCATGTAACCTAGAAGATGTGTCCATAAATATGTTACAATCTCCCCCTGAGGACATTGTTAAGATAGCAAAGAGCAATCACTAATATATGTGGCACAGCTATTTGTCAAAAACTCATTTATGAGCTCTACCTAGGCAGCAATATTAAATCACTCAGTGTTGCAGAAACCAGCCCCACACCACCCAGCAGGTTCCCTGAGTCCAGCGGAGACAAAGGAGTTAGAAAGAAACAGAATAAGCATTTAAAAGGTTCATCCAGGGGACCAGAGCATCGGAGGATTGCTCACAGCCCTGAGCACTTTGGCTCTGCCTAATGAATTGGTTTACAAGCTATTTATTCTTAGGTCAGATGGGAGGGGTAGGAAGGGATAAGAAAAGGAATAATCAATGAAGGAGAACTCATGAGTCATTCAATAAGATGTATAGCATTGGAGATTTCTGTGAATTTCTTTGAACAAAGGCATGTGTCTAAACTACTTAAGATGTTTAACCTATCTGGACTGAAATGGGTGGGAATGGGTTTCAGGAGGAGCCACGATGTAAGATTATACTCCATTACTTCGAGGGAATGCTATCTCCCTGATCAACCTGTGGAAAGCCACGGAGCTGTTATGCTCTTGGGGCATAAAGACATGAAGGCAATAAGAAGACATTTCTCCTCAGAGGTCACCCATGGCTTCCCATGGGTGTGTCACACAGAGGAGACCAACCCATCTGGCACCCCAGAAACTCTCTTTCCCACAATTCAGGAGCTGGGCAAAAGTACATGTCACAATTACACTTGTGGAAAGGTTTAAGAATAAGCATCAGCATCCTGCACCTGTCTTGAAGCCAGGCATATGAGTTGTTATTAGGCTTTTGTTATTATCTCTGTTTTATTGCACAGTATCATCTGTGGTGATAAAGAAGTCAAGAAAGTCACCTCACCTATGTCGAGATGGCGCCAGTGAGATGTCACATTCCACCTTCTGGGCAGGACCCTGGCAGAAAAGTCACATCACCTGTATGCTGATTGCAGTGGCATATCTAAAATTCCTCTCTCGGCAGCACTCTAGAAAGAGAGGAGACTCATTTAACCTAATCAATTAGCCTACATATATCTCACAATGTCTGTGATGTGCAGTACCAATGCTGGAGAGTGTCTTCACATTGTTTCCAGCCCCAGCAACATGTCACAATCTTCCTGTGGTCAGGTCCCAATCAAAAGTGAAGAAACATCACATAGGTGCTGAGCCAAGTGAGATGTTACATCACTTTCTGTTGACAGAACCCAAAAAGGAGAATCACATCACCTATGTGCAGTACCCAGTTATTGTCACAGTGCACTGTGAGTGAAGGACTAATGCAGTAGAAGGGATTCACATCACTTATGTGGTAGACCTAGATATGAAACACAATTCTCTTTGGAGGAGGTTTCAAGCAGATAATTCTCATCACCTGGGTGATGGTCCAAATGATGTATAAAATTGCCATTTGTAGGCAGAGCCATGAAAGTTGTAATATATTGCTAGGTTGCTTGTTCCACATAGGGCATAATTTCTTCTGTGGTCCAGTCCTAGAAAAAAGAGTCAAATTATTCATATGCAGGACAAAGTTACCTGTCACAATCACTATCTCAGAAAGTTTTAGAAATAACTTTCACATCGCACATAAGTCTTGGTTTTGTGTATGTGAGTCAACACTTTCTATGAGTTGGTCAAAGTATATGAGACACAATCACAACAATGGGCAAGATTCATGAATAGGAGGCCCAATCTCATTTGAAGATTGTGTTCCAGTAGGGTAGTAACAGCCTTACCAGTGTGTTGAATCATTCATCATCAAAAGACCCATGAAATTCTCTACTACCAAAGAGTTTATACAATATAAGTTAGTGTTGTAAGCTTCTGTGAGCTTGGTAAAAATATAAAACCTAGACCTAATCTAATCCCCTAAGATTAACACTGAGAAGCAAAAGATATGCTATTGGCTGAATCCTAATATAAGTTTGATCATCATGCCTGTGAACTGAAGAAAGCTATATGTCATAATACCACATGTGGACAAAAAACTAGGGAGGAGGGTGATATCGTTGAGTTACTGTGCCATACATAACATCATAATATCTTCTCTAGGTATGGTATAAGAAATTGGGTCACATTAACTGGGTGTTGACCAAGCAATATGACATCATTCCACATGTGGAAAAAAACCCAACCAAGTTGTGATAGCCAAAACACCTACATAATTAGGCTAAGATGTCAAAATACCTTCACTGGCTCAAACACAAGCAGGAGAGTCACATCATAAGGGAGCTGGGCCTAGCCATATGCAATATGTCATCATTTCCTTTCTATGCAGAACCAAAGCAGAAGAGTGATATCATCTGGGTTATGGGCCCTGTAAAAGGACAAAATTCCTTTTTTGTGGATACAGTTCAGGAAAAAGGGGAGAGTCACATATCATGAGTGCTAGGCTCAGCAATGTGCCAAAATACTCCAACTGTGAAGGCCCAGGCAGAAAATGAGAGTCACATCATTTAGATCATGGTCTCAGAGATATGCCCCAATGTCCCCAGTATGCAGGCCTCAGGCAGAATAGGAGACCCGTATCACCTAGTTGCTTCCCATGGATTGTGTCACAAGGTATCAGGTGGGCAGACATCAGACGACAGAGCTACGTTACTTGGGTGTTGGGTTCAGAGATATGTCACAGGATCTCTTAGGACACCACCCAAGTTAGAGATTTACATCATGAACATGCATGTTCTCTGCTTATGCTGCAATATTCCATGAGTTGGGCCCCAAGGAGGGAGTCACTTCACCTAAGTGACAGATAGGCCCAGAGATATGTCAGTCACAAAGTCATCTATGAAGCATAGCCCTGGCAAAAGGGTACCATCAACTGTGTGCCTGGATTAGAAACATGTCACTCTTCAGGTTGGGAGGGCCCAAGCAGGAAAGCCA
This sequence comes from Homo sapiens, assembly GCF_000001405.40. Classification (NCBI taxonomy): domain Eukaryota; kingdom Metazoa; phylum Chordata; class Mammalia; order Primates; family Hominidae; genus Homo; species Homo sapiens. The sequence goes on from NC_000024.10 coordinate 8,009,407, forward strand.
CATCACCTAGGTAATAGGCCGAGAGATGTACTAAACTGCCCTCCTTAAAGCATGGCTCTAAGGATGGTACTCTGGCAAAAGAGTACCATTTCCTGTGTGCCTGGGCTTTCATTATGTAACTATCCTTTCTTTGTATAGGGCCTATTTCAGAGAGGATTTACATCACCCATGTGGTGGACACAAAAAACTGTTACAATGGTTTTGGTAGGCATGGAGCTGGCAAGATTGTAACATCGTGTGGATGCTAGATCCAGTGATATATCACAACACTTACTTAGAGAAGGGCCCAGGGAGTAGAGTCACCTCACCTTGAGGTTGGGCTAGGTAGAAATCAAAATCCCACATATGCCTGGAACAAGTGTGGAGAGTCAAATTACTCATGTGCTTGGCAAAAATTAATATCACAATCATACTGTCAGAAAATTCCAAAGATGAGATTTATAATATCACAAATGTCCTGTTTTCATGCGTGACATTTGACTTCATCTATGTGTGATGAGGACAGTCCTTACTGTCACCTGGGTGTGCATACAAGACTCACAATTTCACCTGTGTCCTGAGCCCTGCTTTTACTCTGTCTGTAATAACTCAAAGACTTTGTAAAATATGTGTGAGTGTTGTAATATTTTGTAACCTTTGTACAAAAAAGGTAATTTAGGACATCAAGCATGTCCCTAAACCTAGTTGTGAGTCAAAATGGCATCTATTGGCTAAGTCTACATATGAGAGCCATTATCATGCCTGTGAGCCATTCCTAGGTATATATTACAATCCCCCCTGTAGTTTTGAAGCAGGCAGAACAGTCTCATCACCTAAATGCTGGCCCAGAAATATTCCAATTATCTTTATGTAGGCAGGGTTCTGTCAGAAATGTCACTTAAATTCTGTACTAGGTCCAGCTCTGTGGCACAACATCCCATGTTGGCAGTGTCCAGGCAGGAGAGGACTGTCATATCACCTAAATCATGGGCCCCAAAACATGTTGTGATGCCTCTTGTTGACAGGTCCCAGGGAAGAATGTCTTATCATTTGGATGCCAAGTTTAGAAATGCTCCAATTACCAAAAGAATTAGGGTCCAAGCAGGAGAGGAGAGTCATGTAACCTAGACAATAGCTCCAGAAATATGTTACAAGTCTCATGAGGACATTGCTAAGATAGTACGTTAAATCACCAAGGTGCTTGCCCCAGGTATTTGTCAAAATCTTATTTGTGAGCTATACCTAAGCAGTATTACAAAATCACTCAGGAACTGGACAAAGGTATATGTCACAATTCCAATGGAAAAGTTTAATAATAAAAGTCACCACCCTGAAAATGTCCTGGATTTTGGCATATTAGTTGTTAATAGGCTTTTTTTAATGGTCTCAGGTATATGACACAATATCACCTGTGGCAGACAGAAAGTAAGAAACTCACATCACCTACATGGTTGTGGGTCCAGTTAGATGTCACAATCCACCTTGTGGGCAGAACACTGGCAGAAGAGTCACACTACCTGGATACTGGTTTTAGCAACATAGCTAAACCCCTTCTGTGTGCAGGACTTTGGCAAGAAAGGAGACTCACTTTACCTAGGCAATTGACATAGATATATTTCACAATGTCTGTAAAGTTCAGTACCAAGCCTGGAGAGTGACTTCACCTTTGTGCTGGCTCAAGCAATATCTAACAATATCTCTGTGGTCAGAACCCAGGCAAAAGCAAAAAAACATCACCTATGTGCTGAGCCAAGTGACATGTTACAATGCTTCCTGTTGGCAGTACCCAAAAAACAGAATCACATAATCTGGGTACAGTTTCCAGCTACATGTCACAATGCACTGTAAGTACAGGACCAAGGCAGTAGAAGGGAGTCACATCACTTAGGTGATGGACCTAGATATAAGACACACTTTTCTTTGTATGCAGGTTTCAGGCAGATAATTCACATCACCTGGGTGATGGTCACAGTGATTTATAAAAGTGAACTCTGTAGGCAGAGCCAAGGCATATGTTACCTATTGCTTAGGTGTTTTTCCTCATATGGCACAATTTTATCTGTGGTCTGGTCCTAGAAAAGTGAGTCAAATTATTCATGTGCTGGGCAATTACACTCTCAGAATCATTCCGAAATAAGTTTCACATCCCACATAAGTGCTGGATTCATGTATGTGATTCAATACTTTCTGTAAGTTGTGTCAAAGTAGAGGGGTCACAATCTCAACAATGGGCAAGATTCATGTATAAGAGCCCCAATTTCAATTGAAGATTGTGTTTCAGGAAAGGAGTCACAGCCCCACAGGTGTGATGAATCAAGGTTCACATGTTACCAAATCACTTGTGAATCAGAGCCATGTATGAGAGTAGTTACTTAACCTTTGGCTGCTTTTTAAGTGTGAGATTCAGTACCTCATATATAAGCGCTGTTCATGTGTGAGAAAGACAATCATGTCAGCTCTGTGCACATATGATGGTCACAATCTCACCTCGGTGATGGCCTCTGTTATGAAACCCTTTGTCCCATTGAGGTTTATATGATATACTTTAGAGTTATAATTTTTCTAGAAACTTATAATTGTAAAAATCCCAGGACTTTATCCATGACTGTGAGACTGGCTATGAGAGTCAAAACATCTCTACTGACTAGGTCCAGGAATAAGACTTTTTATTGTGCATGTTTGTTTAACCCAGGTATATGTCACAATCTTGGCTGTGAGCAGAGACAAGACAGGGGAGTCTCATCACCTGGGTGCTGAGCCAGTGACACAATATAATCTCATTTGTAGGATGGGCCTAGTTAGCAGATTCACATCACTTGGGTAAATCGTCAAAGAGTAAGTCATCAAGCCCACTATAGACAGGGTAGAAGATGAAGAGGAGAGTCCACTGGGTGCAGTAGCTCATGTGTGTAATTGCAGCACTTTGAGAATCCAAGGCAGGCAGATCACGAGGTCAAGATTTTGTGACTAGTCTGGCCAACATAGTAAAACCCATTCTTTACAAGAAAGACAATAATTAACTAGGCCTGGTGGCAAGCACCTGTAATACCAACTACTCAGGAGGCTGATAAATGAGGATCACATGAATCCTAAAGATGGAGGTTGCAGTATTTCGAGATTGTACCTCTGCACTCCAGACTGAGGTACAGTGTGAGACTCTGTCTCAAAACAAAGACAAAAACAAAAGAAGAAGACGAAGAGTATCACTTAACCTAGGTGCTGGGCTCTGCAATATGTAATAACCACCTCTCTTGGCAGGGTCTAGAATATGAAGGAGAGTCACATTATTTAGGTTTTAAAGTCAGCAGTATGTCACAATTTCTTTGGTGTGCAGGACGCCGCAGGAGAGGAGAGACATATTACCTAGATGTTACACCAAATGATATTTCACAATGTCTTCTGGGGGCTTGACACAGGCAGAAGAAACAAATCACCTAGCTTATAGGCTAAGAGATATATGATAATATCCCCTGTTGCCAGGTCCAGGCAAAATAGTCACTTTTTATGATTCTAACCCAGCAATATGTCACAACACACCCATAAAAAGAAATTTAATACAAAAAGTCTCAACACCCGGGTACTAGGCCTAGTAAGAGGCCAAATCTCCTTGTCTTTTAGAGTGACCCTAATAACTGTGAGTTGGGTATGTATATGAGATTCACAATCTCCCGTGTTTCCTGGACCATTGTATAATACTGTACAACATTTGAAGTCATGTGTGAGAGTTGCAAACCACTCTGAGGCTTACATGTTCCTATGGATTCACAACCTTACATATTTTCCTAAAGCCAGGTATAATAGTCAAAATTTCTTCTGTAGGCTGGGGTCAGGAATGAGACCCATTTTTATATTTGTGAGCTGGATCCAGAAGTGAGTCACCATCCCAACTGTGACCAGATCCACATATGAAAGTAACAATTCCAATGGTGTACTGCATTCACTTGTTAGACTCAGGACCCTAACAGTGGGCTTTGGACATATAGGGTGGTGGCAGCATTTACTTTCACCTGGGTGTGTAATCCAGAGTCCAACTCTGAAATTTTGCTGATCCTTGTCATAAAACTCTGTGTTGTACTTAAGGAGATTTTACATTATGATTTAGTGTTGTAAAGCTCTGTGAGCTTGGTACAAACATGCAACCCAGGACGTTACCTATTGCCCTAGTCCTAGCAATGAAAGACAGCATATCTCCTATTGGCTAAATCCAAATATAAATTTGACAATCATGCATGTAAACTGTAGTAAGTTATATATCATAGTCCCATTTGTGGACAGAAAAACTAACCCAGAGGGTAATATCACTTAGGTCCTCTGACAAGCAACATGGCACAATGACCTCTCTAGGCAGGGTGTAAGAATTAGAGTCACACTTACTGCATTCTGGACTCAGCAATATGGCACAATCCCACATGTGGGGAATAAAAAAGAAAAAAGAACCAGCCAAATGGTAAGAGCCAAAACAATGGGCCCAGGGTATGTCAAAATACCTTCTGGTATTCCGCACAGTCATGAGAGTCATGTTATCAGGGTTCTGGGCCCAGCAATATCCCATAATATTCTGGATATAGAGGACCCAGGTAAACGAGTAACAGTATCTGGGTGTCGTACTCTGCAATGTCTGTTCTTGGCATGGTTCAAGAGAAAAAGGAGAGTCAAATAACCTGAGTCCTGAGCTCAGCAGTACATCAGCATCCCCCCATTGTAAAGACCAAGCAGAAGAAGAGAATCACTTCATTTAGGTCATGGGCTCAGAGATATATCCTAGTGTCCCCAGTAAGCAGGACCCAGGAAGAAAAGGACAGTCACATCACCTAGCTGCTTCCCTACTTATATGTCACAATCTAAGAAGTGGGCAGAAAGCAGGCAGAAGAGCCACACCATCTGCATACTGCCTCAAGTAATATCTCACCATGCCCAATGAAGAGAGGTTTAAAGAAATAAAAAGAGAATCACACTACCTGGGGGCTGGGATCAGCAATGTGTAATAATTACCTCTCTTTGTTGGGTCCAGGACAAAAAAAAAGTCATGTCACTTAGGTTTTGCACTCAGTGGTATATCAAAATTTTTTCAGTGGGCAGGATCCAGGCAGGAGGGATGAGTCACATTACCTAGATGCTATATCTATCAATATGTCACAGTGTCTCCTTTGGGCAGGGCATGGGCAGGAGAGACAAATCATCTAGCCAACAGGCCTGGAGATATGTGAAAATATTCTCTGTTTGCAGAGCTCCTACAGAAGAGTCACTATATCAATATTCAAACCCAGTGATATGTAACAATCCCCTTATGAAAAAGGAATTTCAACCAAACAGTCTCAACACTGGTTTACTTTGCCAAAGTTATGACACAATCACCTCATTATTAAGGATGACACCATTAACTGTTATCTAGTTGTGCATATGATAGTCAAAATCTAACATGTGTGCTGTTTATTGTATGGCACTCTTTACAACTCCTGAGATGTTTATAAAACATGTATGAGGGTTCCAAAACTCTCTGAGACCTACATGCTTATATGGATTCATGATCTTACGTATTGCCCTAAACTCAGGGATAACAGTCAACATCTCTCCTATATGCTGGCTTCAGGGATGAGACTACTATTATGCCTGTGACCTAGGCCCAGAAATTAGTCATCATTTCACCTGTGACCATATTCATTTATGAATGTCACAATTCTAACTTGGTGCTGTATTGACTTGTTAGGCCCAGGACCTCAACAATGGGTTTTGTAAATGTAGGATAGTAAAAACTTTTATTTTCAACTGAGTGTGTAGGTGAAAGTCACCATTTTAACTTTTTGTTGGGTCCCATTGTGAACCTTCCTGTACCACTCAAGAAGTTTTTATGATATGAGTTAGTTTTGTAAGCTTCTGTGAGATTTGTACAAATATGCAATGGAAGATCTTTCCTATTGACCAAAACCTAGTGGAGAGAGGCAAAATATCTCCTGCTGGTTGAATCCCAATATAAGCTTGATCACCATGTCTTTGAACTGAATCAAGGTATATATCATAATCCCACTTGAGGGCAAAAAACTAGGCAGAAGGTTAATATCACTTAGGTGCTGTGCCAAGCAATATGTCGTAATGCCCTATTTAGGCAGGGCCTAGGAAATAGGGTCACATTAGTTGATGGCAGGAGCAAGCAAAATGATACAACCACACATGAAAGAAAGCCAACAAAGTGGTCAGAGACAAAAAAAACCTACAGAATAAACCAAAGATATGTTAAACTACCTTCTGTGGCTCTGGCATAGGCAGAAGAGTCATATCATTAGGGAGTTGGGTGGAGCAATATGCTATAATTTTCTCTTTATGCACGACCTATGAAGAATAGTAACATCATGTGTGGGCTGGGCCTGAAATATGGCAAAAGTCCTTTTCATGGGTGCTATTCAGCAACAAGTTGAGAGTCACATTACCTAAGTGCTTGGCTTATCCATATGTCACAGTCTTCCTATTGTAAAGGCCCAGAGATAAACAGAGACTCACATCACTTAAGTCATGGGCTCAGAGATATGGCCCAATGTCACCAGTAGCCAAGGCTCAGGCAGAAAGAGGGAGTCATATTACATAGGTGCTTCTTTATTTAGATATCACAAATTAATATAAGGGTAGAAACCACGTTGAAGAGCCACATGATCTGGTCCTGCATCCCGAGATGTTCACAAGTCCCCCTTAGAACAGGACCCAGGAAAAAGACACATCACCTAGGTGTAAATTCCACCCTTATATCATGAAGTTCCTTGTGGACAGGGCCAAGCAGGAAGTCACATCACCTAGGTGATAGGCTCAGATATATGTCATAAAGCCTTCTTTAAAGCATCACCCTGGCAAAAGAGTACAATCACCTTTTTGCCTGGCCTGGCAATGTGTCACTATTCAAGTGGGCAGGTCCCAAGTAGAAAAGCCATAGCACCTATATGATAGGCCTGTGATATGTCAAAATGTCCTCTTTTGTGCATGGCCCTGGCATCCTCTTTTAAGTGATGGACACAGTGATAAGTCACAATGATATCTGTGGGCATAGTGAAGGCAAGAATGTAATGTCATCTTGGTGCTGGATCCAGTGATGTCACAATTTTTACTGATAGCAGAGACCAGGAAGAAGAGTCATATCACTTCAAAATTGGCCCAGGTAGATATCAAAATTCCATATATAGGTTGGAACCAATCTGAAGAATGAAATTACACAGGTGCTTGGGGAAGATTTATATCACATTCACAGTGTAATTAAATTCAAGGGATTAGATTTACAATACTACACATGTCCCGTTTTTAGGTAGGATAGTTGCTCTCATTCATCTTTGATGTTGAAAGTCCTTACTGTTATTTGAGTATGCATATGAGTGTGCATCATAATTTTCTCTGTGTGCTAGACATTATTATGACAGCTTCTATATAGCCCAAGGGTGTTATAAAATATCTGTGTTTGTTATAATTTTCTGTGACCATTTTATCAGAAGAAGATCCTTGACAATACTCATGTTGTGACAAAAGTCAAAATTTATCTTATTGGCTGGGTCCCCATATTACAGTCATTATCATGTTTGTTAGCTGTGCATAGGTAAATGTCACCATTACCTCTGTGGTTGTTAAGCAGGGAGGACAATCACATCACCTAAATTTTAAGCCAGAATTTTTCCAAAATTCTCTTTGATGGCAAGAGTCTAACAGAAAATTCACAAGACATGGGTGCTAGGCAAAGCTCTATGTCATAATGTCCCTTGTGGTGAATGTCCAGGAAGGAGAGTAGAGTCATATTACCTAAATCATGGCCCCAGAGATATGTCACAATGCCTCCTGTTAATAAATGGTGCAGGCAAAACTGGCTAGCCATATGCAGAAAGCTGAAACTGGATCCCTTCCTTTCACCTTATACAAAAATTAATTCAAGATGGACTAAAGACTTACATGTTAGATGTAAAACCATTAAAACCCTAGAAGAAAACCTAGGCAATACCATTCAGGACATAGGCATGGGCAAGGACTTCATGTCTAAAACACCAAAAGCTATGACAACAGAAGCCAAAATTGACAAAAGAGATCTAATTAAACTAAAGGGCTTCTGCACAGCAAAAGAAACTACCATCAGAGTGAACAGGCAACCTACAAAATGGGAGAAAATTTTTGCAACCTACTCATCTGACAAAGGCCTAACATCCAGAATCTACAATGAACTCAATCAAATTTACAAGAAAAAAACAAACAACACCATCAAAAAGTGGGCGAACGACATGAGCAGACACTTCTCAAAAGAGGACATTTATGCAGCCAAAAAACACATGAAAAAATGCTCATCATCACTGGCCATCAGAGAAATGCAAATCAAAACCACAATGAGATACCACCTCACACCAGTTAGAATGGCGATCATTAAAAAGTCAGGAAACAACAGGTGCTGGATGGGATGTGGAGAAATAGGAACACTGTTACACTGTTGGTGGGACTGTAAACTAGTTCAATCATTGTGGAAGTCAGTGCGGTGATTCCTCAGGGATCTAGAACTAGAAATACCATTTGACCCAGCCATCCTATTACTAGATATATACCCAAGGGATTATAAATCATGATGCTATAAAGACACATGTACACATATGTTTATTGCAGCACTATTCACAATAGCAAAGACTTGGAACCAACCGAAATGTCCAACAAACACAGATTGGATTAAGAAAATGTGGCACATATACATTGTGGAATACTATGCAGCCATAAAAAATGATGAGCTCATATCCTTTGTAGGGACATGGATGAAGCTGGAAACCATCATTCTCAGCAAACTATTGCAAGGACAAAAAACCAAACATCGCATGTTCTCACTCATAGATGGGAATTGAACAAATGAGAACACATGGACACAGGAAGGGGAACATCACACACTGGGGACCATTGTGGGGTGGGGGGAGGGTGGAGAGATAGCATTAGGAGATATGCCTAATGTTAAATGGCGAGTTAATGGGGGCAGCACACCAACATGGCACATGTATAAATATATAACAAACCTGCACGTTGTGCACATGTACCCTTAAACTTAAAATATAATAATAATTTTTTTTAAAAAAAGAAAAAGGCCCATGCAACAGAATCATGTCATTTGGATGCAGTGCAGAGAAATGCTACAATCTTCACTGTAATCAGTGTTCAGGCGGGAGAGGAGAGACACATAACCTAGATGATGAATCCAGCAATATGTTATGATCTCTTCTGAGGACACTGTTAAGACACAAGAGTCAAATAATTAACTATATGTCCAGGTATATGTCAAAATGTCATCTGTGGGCTATAACTAAGGAGGATTATTAAATCACTCAGGAGATTGGCAAAGATAAATGTCATAATAATACCTGTAAAAAGGTTCAGGGAGGAGAATCACCATCCTGCACATCCTGGCTCCAGGTACAAGGGTCATTATTCAGCCTTTGATCTGGCCTCACATATATGCTGCAATGCCTCCTGTGAACATGGAGAAAAAAGGAAATTCCCATCACCTGAGTGGGTGCTGGTCAAGTTTAATGTCAAAATCCTTGTAGTGTACAGGCCTCTAGAAGAAGAGTTACATCACCTGGATGCTTATTTCAGTGATGTATCTAATCCTCCACCGAGGGCAGGGCTTAAGCAGGAGAGGAGACAATCATCACCTACGCAATTGGCCTGGATATATATCACAACGGCCCTTATGTTTAGGACCAAGGCAGGAGAGTGAACTCACCTTGTGCTGGTTTCAGCTGTATGTCACCATCTCTCTGGTGGTCAGGACTCAGTCAAGAGAGAATAAGCATCACCTAGGTGCTAAGCCAAGTGTTATGTTATATAGTTTTTTATTGGTAGAACACCCCCAAATGAACAGTCACATCACATGGGTGCAGTACCCAGTTATGTGTAACAATGCACCAGAACTGCAAGGCCAAGGCAGAATAAGGAAGTCACATACTTATATGATGGACCTTGATAAAAGCCACAATGCTCTTTGTAGGCAGGGTTCAGACCAAGATTTTACATCAGCTGAGTGCTGTGTTCAGAGATATGTAAAAGTGCCCTTGGTCCCATTGCCAAAGAAGGTGTTGTATATCACTTAGTTGCTTGGTGCACATATGTCACAATTTGAACTGTGCTCTGGGTCTAGAAAGGAGAGTCAAAACAATCAGATGCTGGACAAAGTCATACTTCTCAGTCACACACTCGAAAATGTTCAGAAATACATTTCACAGTCCCACACAATCCTGGCTTTGGGTGGGAGAGTCAACATCTACGATTTGGTTTGAAATACAGAAGTCACAATCTCAAAAATGTGCAAGATGCATGTATAAGAACCCTAATCCCACTTGAGTATTGTGCTCCATTAGTAGAGTCAAAGCACCACAGGTTTGCTGAATAATGGTTCATATGTCACAAAACCACCTGTGGATCTGATTCATGTACAAGAGTTACAATTTTGAGATTTTGACTGCTTATGTGTGTGAGAGTTAGTACCTCATTTATAGGCTCTGTTTATGTGTGAGAATGAAAACAGTGTCAGCTGGGTGTTCATCCAAGACTCAAAATAGCATCTGATTGTTGGTGCCTGTTATAAAACTCTTTGTACCACTGAAGATTTATGTGATATAACTGAGTAGCACGGTTTTCCATGAATTCTTACAGGTGGGAGGTCTAGGACTTTACCCACGGCTGTAAGAGTGGCAATGAGAGTGGAAATATCTCCTTTGGCTGGGTCAATGTATGAAAGTTATTGTTATGCATATTAACTGATTTAACAAATAAGTCTCAATTTTACTTTTGGGTACAGACAAGACAGAAAAGTCACATCATCTGGGTCCTTACAAGGCATATATTATAATCTCCTCTGTAGGCAGAACCCAGTCAGAAGGCTCATATCACCTGGGTACAATCTGAAATGATATGACATCATGCCCACTGCATACATAGTTGAGAAAAATAGTGGATAGTCACAGCCCCTAGGTGCTATGCTCAGCAATATATTATATTTCCCTCTCTTGACAGAGTATGGAACAAAGGGTAGAGTTACGTCTCCTAGATTTTATACTCAGTTGTATGTCACAATTTCTTTAGTGGGGAGGATCCAGGTAGGAGAGGAGATTCACATTATCTAGATGCTATACCTAGCAATATGTCACAGTGTCCCCTGTAGGCAGGGCACTGGGTGGAGAGACACATCACCTACCTGGTAGGCCCAGAGATATGTGATAATATCCCCTGGTTCCAGGATCCAAGCAGAAGAGTCACCTTTTTATTATTCTAACCCAGCGATGATTCACAATGCAAACATGGTAAAGAATTTAAGCCAAAACTTCTCAACAACTAGGAGTACTGGGCCTAGAGATATGACACAATCTCTTCATCTCTTAGCATCACACCTTTAACTGCTAGCTTGGGGTGTATGTGAGAGTCACAATCTCATGTGTTATCTGGATCATTGCATGACACATTCTACAGCATTCAAAGGGTTTATGCAACATGCATGAGAGTAGCAATCCACTCTGAGGCATGCATGGTTGTATTGACTCACAATCTTATATACTGCTTTAAACCCAGTTATAATAGTCAACATCTCTCTTATAGGGTGGGTTCAGATGGGAGACCAATTATTATGCCTGTGATCTGGGTCCAGAAATTAGTCACCCTCTCATCTGTAGCAAGATCCACATATCAAAGTCAAAATTCCATCTTTGTACTTTATTTACTTGTTAGACTCAGAACTTCAACAGTGGCCTTTGTAAATGTGGGATGGTGACAACTTTGTCTCTCACCTGCAAGTGTAATGAAGAATCATGATCTTACCCTTTTCCTGGGCCATGTTACAAAACTCAGTGTACCACCCAATAAGTTTATAGAATACGAGTTAGTTTTGTAACATTCTTTGAGTTTTGTACAAATACGCAACTCATAACCTTAACTGTTGCAGTAAGCATAGAGATGAGAGGCAAAATATCTACTATTGGTGTAATACCAATTTAAATTTGATCATCATCACTCTGAATAGAAGCAATGTAAATTTAATATCCAGTTTTTAGGAAAAAACTTGACAAGAGGTTAGCACAAATTAGGTGTTTTGCCAAGCAATATGTCACACTGCCTCCTCTAGGCAGGTGGTAGAAATGAGGGTTATATTAACTGGACACTAGACCCAGAAATATAACACAATCCCAAATGTGAAAGAAAAACAGACAATTGATGACAGCAAACACACCTACAACATGGGCTCAAGATATGTTAAAATACTTTCTGTTGCTGTGGCACAGGCAGGAGAATTACATCATCCGCGTTACAGACCTAATAATATGCCATAATTCTGTCTTTATGAAGGACCCAGGCAGCAGAGGAACATCATCTGGGTGCTGGGCCAGCCAATATGTCAGAATTCCTCTTCATAGGGACAGTTCAGGAAAATATTAAGAGTCATATTATGTAAGTATTGGGCTTAGTATTATTTCACGTTACCCCATTGTAAAGCCTCTGGCAGGAAAACAGGTTCACATCTCTTAGGACATGAACTCAGGTATATGGCCAAATATCCCAAGTAGGCAGGGCTCAAGCAGAAGAAAAGAGTCATATCTCATATCATGTAGGTGCTTCCCTAGGTATATGACACAATCTTACACGTGAGGTGAAAGCAGGCAAAACAGCCACATCACCATGATGTTGGATTCTGAGCTATGTCACAAGGCTCCCTTAGGACAAGACCCAGACAAGAGAGTTAGAGCAAATAAGTGCAGTGTTTGCCCTTATTTTTCAATGCTGTATGTGTGCAGGACCAGAGCACGAAGTCACATCACCTAAGTAATAGGTCCAGAGATATGTCACAATGTCCCACTGAGGCCCTGGTGAAGGGGTACCATTACGTTTGTGCCTAACCTAGCAACATGTCACTATACAGGTAAGCATTACCCAAGCAGGAGAGCAGAATCCCCTAGATGAAGTCTCAGAAATTTGTCATAATGCACTTTGTAGGACATGGCCATAGCAAAAGAGTACCATCAGCTTTGTGCCTGGCCCAGCCATATGTCGCTATACCCCACAGTGCACAGGGACCATTATAATGAGGAGATTTATGTCACCTAAGTTGTTGACACAGTCATATGTCACAATAATTTCTGTAGGCAGGGCTCAGGCAAAAATGTAACATGACCAGTGTCCTGGATCCAGTGATATGTCACAATTCTTACTGAGAGCAAGGCCTAGGCAGGAGAGTCACATCACCTAGAAGGTGGCCAAGGTACACATGACAATAACTTACATGGGATGAAACCAGTCTGGATAGTCAAATCACATAGGTGCTAGGCAAATATTTATGTCACAGTCACACTGGCAGAAAATTCACTGGATGAGATTTACAATACCACACATATCCTGATTTCAGGACTGACATCTGGCTTCATATATGTGAGATGGTAACAGTCCTCACTGTCGGCTTGGTGTGTATATGAGACTCACAATTTCACCTTTCTGTTATGTTCTGTTATTACACTCTCTGTACAAGCCAAGGGCTTTATAAAATTTCCGAGGCTATTATAATCTTCTGTAACCTTTCTTTAACTGAGAGAGACTTAATCACTCATGTTTCTATAGCAAGTAATGAGGGTCAAAATTACTCCTATTTGTGGGGTATGAGAGTCAATACTATGCCTGTGAGTTGTGCATAGTTATATGTCACAATTTACTCTGTGGTAATGAAACAGGCTTGACAGCCAAGTCACCTAAATGCTGAACCAGAAATTTTCAAATATTCTTGTAGGCAAGCTCCTGGAAGAAAAGTTGCATAACTTCTGGGTTACACCCAGATGTATGGCACAATGCCCCTTTTAAGCAGTGCCTAGGCAGAAGAGGAGAGTCATATAATCTAAATGACTGGCCAAGACATGTGCAACAATGCCTTCTGTTGAAAGGACCAGGCAAGAGAGTCATGACATTTGCATGAAGTGCTTAGAAATGCTACAATCCCCAAGGCAGAGGTTGTAGTGAGCCGAGACTGCAGCACTGCACTGCAACCTAGGTGACAAAATGAAAGAAAAAGAAAAAAACATTACAATCCCCAGTGGAAGCAGGATCCAGTCAGAGGAGGTGAGACAGGTAAACTAGATGATGGATTCAGAGACATTTTACAATCCTTCCTGAGGATATTGTTAAGACAGGAGAGTCAAATCACAAATGTGACCAGCTGAGGTATATGTGCAAATCTCATTTGTGGACTGCACCTAGGCAGGATTATTAAGTCACCCAGGAACTGGGCAAATGTATATGTCACAGTAACACTAGTGAAATGCTCCAGAAACAGGAGTCACCTTCTTGTATATGACCTGGCTCCAGATTTAAGAGTCATGATTAGTCCTCTTATCTCATCTCAGGTATATGGCAAAATATCACCTGTGTGCAGAGAGCAAGTGGGAAGGTCACCACACCTGGGTGGGTGCTGGTCCAGTGAGATGTCACAATCCATCTTCTGGGCAGGACCCTGGAAGAAGCATCACATCAGCTGGATACTGTTTTTAGTGATATATCAAAATTCCACCTGTGAGCAGGGCTTAAGAAAGAGAGGAGGGTCACTTCACCTAGGCAATTGGCATAGATATATGTCACAATGGGTGCTATGTGCAAAACCAAGGTATAAAAGTGACCACACCTTGGTGCTGGGTTTATCAATATGTCACAATCTCCCCTGTGATCAGGTCAAGACAAGAGAGTAGAAACATGACCTAAGTGCTGAGCAAAGTGATATGTTGTTACAAAGCTTCTCATTGGTAGAACCCAAAAGGGAGAGTCACAGCACCTGGGTGCAGAACCCAGTTATGTGTCTTAATGCACCATAAGTGCAGGGCCAAGGCAGTAGAAGGGAGTCACAGTGCAGTTTGTAGGCAATCCCAGGCACCTATGCTTAGGTGTATGGTTCAATTATGTCACAGTTTTGTCTGTGGTTATGGCCTAAAAAGGAGAGTCCAGTTATTCAGAAGCTAGGCTAACTTTTGTCTTAAGCGCACACCAGGAAATATTCAGATATAAGTTTCACAGTCCCATGAAAGTCCAACATTTGAGTATTTGAGTCAACACACCCTATCAGTTGGGTTGAAGTAGAGGAGTCACAATCTCAACAGTGGGCAAGATCCATGTATAAGATGCCCAATTCCACTTGAAGATTGTGTTCCAGTAGGGGAGTCACAGCCTCACAGGTGTGCTGAATTATGCATCACCAAAAGACCCGGGGATCAGATCCAAGTATGAGAGGAACAGTTTCAAACTTTGACAGCTCTTTTGTGTGAGATTTAGTACCTATTTTTTTGGCTCTGTTCTTGTGAGAGAATGACAGTCGGGTCAGCTGAATATATATCCAAGGGTCTCAATAGCATCAGATTGCTGTCCCTGTTATGAAATTATTTGTACTACTCAGGCTTTATGTCATATGCCTGAGTGTCATAGTTTTCTGTAAACTTTATAAAATTAGTAGACACATTTCTTTACTTATGGTCATAAGACTGGTTATGAAAGACAAAATATCTCTTCTTTCTGGGTCCAGTTATAATAGCTGTATTTATCCATGTCAGCTGAACCCAGATCTGTCACTGTTTCTCCTGTGCGCAGAACCAAAACAGGAGAGTCTCATCACCAGGATTCTAAGCTCACAATACATTATAATATCTTTTTCAGGCAGTGCCAAGTCAGAAGAGTCATGTCATCTGGGTACAGCCTCAAGGTGCTAGCCTCAGCAATATTTAATAATGCCTTATTTCGCAGACTCCAGAATAAAGAGGAGAATTGCATTATTTAACTTTTGCATTCAGCACTATGTACCTATTTCTTTAGTGCACATTACCTAGGCAGGAGAGAGAAGTGACATTTCCTAGATGCTACATTAAAAGATGTCACAATGTTCCTTGGGAGCAAAGCACAGGTAAAATAGACAAATCACCTAGGGGATACTCTTGGAGATATGTGATAATATTTCTTGTTGGCAGTGCCCAGGCAGAAGAATGCACATACAGGAAACAATTTAAGCAAAAGCTTTAACACGTGGCTACTAGGCCCAGTGATATGACACGATCTCAATGACCCAATATCTCATCAGGGCTCTTATACATGGATCTTGCCTATTGTTGAGATTGTGACTCCTCTACTTTGGCCTAACTAATAGACAGGATTGATTCACATACATGAAACCGGGATTTGTGTGGGATGTGAAAATTATTTCTGAAACTTTCTTAGCATGTGATTGGGGCAGGTAACTTTGCCAAGCACATAAATAACCTGTTTCTCTTTTCTAGGCTGAGATCACAGATGAAATTGTGCCATATGTGGAACAAGCACCTAAGCAATATACAATACTTTCCTTGACTCTGCCTAAAAAGGGCACCTTTATATATCACTGGGACCATAATCAAGATGATGTGAATTACCTGCCTGAAGCCTGCCTGCAAAGACAATTGTGTCCTATAACTAGGTCCATCACATAAGTGATGTTACTCCTTTGTACTGCCTTGACCCTGCAGTTACAGTGCATTGTGACACATAACTGGGAACTTCCTCCAGGTTATGGGATTCTCCTTTTTGTGTTCTGCCAACAGGAAGCATTGTAACATATCACTTGGTTCAGAACCTAAGGTGATGTTTCTTCACTTGTGCCTGGGTTCTGACCACAGGGAGATTGTGACATAGCTGAACCCACTGCCAACATGAGGTCACTCTCCAGCCTTGGTACTGTACATAAGTCAAATTTGGACATACATCTAAGCCAATTGCCTAGGTTAACTGAGTCTCACCTCTTTCCAAAGTCATGTTCACAGGGGGGTTTTGATGTCTGTGAAACCAGCATCCAGGTGATGTGACTCATCTGCCAAGGTTCTACCCACAAGGTGGATTGTGATATCTCACTGGAGGCACACCCACATAGGTGATGTGACTTTCTTGCATTCTCTGACCAGAGTTGATACTGTGCCATACAATTGAGATGATAACAAAAGCCTAATAATAGCTAATATGGCTGAAGCAAGGATATGTGCAGCATGGTGACTCTTATTCTTAAACCCTTGCACAAGTTTAACTGTGACACATACCTTTGCCCAGCTCTTGAGTGATTTGATAGTTCTGCCTAGATGTAGCCCACAAATGAGATTTTGACAAATACCTGGGCCAAGCACCTTGGTGATTTCACTCTTGCTATCTTATTTTATTTTATTTTTTAATTATTATACTTTAAGTTTTAGGGTACATGTGCACAACGTGCAGGCTTGTTACATATGTATACACGTGCCATGTTGGAGTGCTGCACCCATTAACTCGTCATTTAACATTAGGTATATCTCCAAATGCTATCCCTCCCCTCTCCCCGCACACCACAACAGGCCCCGGTGTCTGATGTTCCCCTTTCTGTGTCCATATGTTCTCATTTTTCAATTCCCACCAGTGAGTGAGAATATGAGCTGTTTGGTTTTTTGTCCTTGTGATAGTTTGCTGAAAATGATGGATTCCGGCTTCAACCACATCCCTAGAAAAGACATGAGCTCATCATTTTTTATGGCTGCGTAGTATTCCATAGCGTATATGTGCCACATTTTCTTAATCCAGTCTATCATTATTGGACATCTGGGTTGGTTCCAAGTCTTTGCTATTGTGAATAGTGCCGCAATAGACATATGTGTGCATGTGTCTTTATAGCAGCATGATTTATAATCCTTTGGGTACATACCCAGTAATGAGATGGCTGGGTCAAATGGTATTTCTAGTTCTAGATCCCTGAGGAATTGCCACACTGACTTCCACAATGGTTGAACTGGTTTACAGTCCCACCAACAGTGTAAAGGTGTTCCTAATTCTCTACATCCTCTCCAGCACCTGTTGTTTCCTGACTTTTTAATGATCGCCATTCTAAATGGTGTGAGATGGTACCTCCTTGTGGTTTTGATTTGCATTTCTCTGATGGCCAGTGATGGTGAGCATTTTTTCATGTGTTTTTTGGCTGCATGAATGCCTTCTTTTGAGAAGTGTCTGTTCATATCCTTTACCCACTTGTTGATGGGGTTGTTTGTTTTTTTCTTGTAAATTTGATTGAGTTCATTGTAGATTCTGGAGATTAGCCCTTTGTCAGGTGAGTAGATTGCAAAAATTTTCCCCCATTCTGTAGGTTGCCTGTTCACACTGATGGTAGTTTCTGTTGTTATGCAGAAGCTCTTTAGTTTACTTAGATCCCATTTGTCAATGTTGGCTTTTGTTGCCACTGCTTTTGATGTTTTAGACATGAAGTCCTTGCCCATGCCTATGTCCTGAATGGTATTACCAGGGTTTTCTTCTAGGAGTTGTATGGCTTGAGGTCTAACATTTAAGTCTTTAGTCCATCTTGAATTAATTTTTTATGAGGTGTAAGGAAGGGATCCAGTTTCAGCTTTCTACATATGGCTAGCCAGTTTTCCCAGCACCATTTATTAAACAGGGAATCCTTCCCTCATTTCCTGTTTGTCTCAGGTTTGTCAAAGATCAGATAACTATCTGATATGTGGCATTACTTCTGAGGGCTCTGTTCTGTTCCATTGGTCTATATCTCTGTTTTGGTACCAGTACCATGCTCTTTTGGTTACTGAGCCTTGTAGTATAGTTTGAAGTCAGGTAGCATGATGCCTCCAGCTTTGCTCTTTTGGCTTAGGATTGACTTGAAAATGTGGGCTATTTTTCGGTTCCATATGAACTTTGAAGTAGCTTTTTCCAATTCTGTGAAGAAAGTCATTGGTAGCTTGATGAGGATGACATTTAATCTATAAATTATCTTGGACAGTATGGCCATTTTCCTGATACTGATTCTTCCTACCCATGAGCATGGAATGTTCTTCCATTTGTTTGTGTCCTCTTTTGATTCATTGAGCAGTGGTTTGTTTCTCCTTGAAGAGGTCCTTCTCATCCTTTGTGAGTTGGATTCCTAGGCATTTTATTCTCTTTGAAGCAATTGTGAATGGGAGTTCACTCATGATTTGGCTCTCTGTTTGTCTGTTATTCATTTATAAGAATGCTCACGATTTTTACACATTGATTTTGTATCCTGAGATTTTTCTGAAGTTGCTTATCAGCTTAAGGAGATTTTGGGCTGAGACAATGGGGTTTTATAGATATACAATCACGTCATCTGAAAACAGGGACAATTTGACTTCCTCTTTTCCTAATTGAATACCCTTTATTTCCTTCTCCTGCCTGAATGCTCTGGCCAGAACTTTCAAAACTATGTTGAATAGGAGTGGTGAGAGAGGGCATCCTTGTCCTGTGACAGTTTTCAAAGGGAATGCTTCCAGTTTTTTGCCCGTTCAGTATGATATTGGCTGTGGGTTTTTCATAGATAGCTCTTATTATTTTAAGATACATTGCTTCAATACCAAAGTTATTGAGAGTTTTTAGCATGAAGAGCTGTTGAATTTTGTCAAAGGCCTTTTTTGTATCTATTGAGATAATCATGTGGTTTTTGTCTTTGGTTCTGTTTATATGTTGGATTACATTTGTTGATTTTCATATGTTGAACCAACCTTGCATCCCAGGAATGAAGCTCACTTGATCATGGTGGATAATCTTTCTGACGAGCTGCTGGATTCAGTTTGCCAGTATTTTATTGAGGATTTTTGCATCAATGTTCATCAAGAACATTGATCTAAAATTATCTTTATTTGTTGTCTGTCTGCCAGGCTTTGTTATCAGGATGATGCTGACCTCATAAAATGAGTTAGAGAGGATTCTCTCTTTTTCAGTTGATTGGAATAGTTTCAGAAGGAATAGTACTAACTCCTCCTTGTACCTCTGGTAAAATTTGTCTGTGAATCCATCTGGTCCTGGACTTTTTTTAGTTGGTAAGCTATTAATTATAGCCTCAATTTCAGAGCCTGTTATTTGTCTATTCAGAGATTCCACTTCTTCCTGGCTCAGTCTTGGGGGTGTGTATGTGTCAAGGAATTTATACATTTCTCCTAGGTTTTCTAGTTATTTGTGTAGAGGTGTTTATAGTATTCTCTGGAGGTAGTTTGTATTTCTGTGGGATCAGTGGTGATATGTCATTTATCATTTTTTATTGTATCTATTTGATTCTTCTCTCTTTTTTTTTGAAGAATTTTCAACCCAGAATTTCATATCTAGCCAAACTAAGCTTCATAAGTGAAGGAGAAATAAAATACTTTACAGACAAGCAAGTGCTGAAAGATTTTGTCACCACAGGGCCTGCCCTAAAGGAACTCCTGAAGGAATCACTAAACATGGGAAGGAAAAACCAGTACCAGCCACTTCAAAAACATGCCAAATTGTAAAGACCATCAAGGCTAGGAAGAAACTGCATCAACTTATGAGCAAAATATCCAGCTAACATCATAATGACAGGATCATATTCACACATAACAATATTAACCTTAAATGTAAATGGGCTAAATACTCCAATCAAAAGACACAGCCTGACAAATTGGATGAACAGTCAAGACCCATCAGTGTGCTGTAGTCAGGAAATGCATCTCATGTGCAGAGACACATATAGGCTCAAAATAAGGGGATGGAGGAAGATCTACCAAGCAAATGGAAAACAAAAAAAGGCAGGGGTTGCAATCCTAGTGTCTGATGAAAAAGACTTTAAACCAACAAAGATCAAAAGAGACAAAGAAGGTCATTACATAATGGTAAAAGGATCAATTCAACAAGAAGAGCTACTAACCTCAATATATATCCACCCAATACAGGAACAACCAGATTCATAAAGCAAGTCCTTAGTGACCTACAAAGAGACTTAGACTCCCATACAATAGTAATGGGAGATTTTAACAACCCTCTCTCAACATTAGACAGATCAATGAGACAAAAAGTTAACAAGGATATCCAGGAATTGAACTCAGCTCTGCACCAAGTAAACCTAATAGATATCTACAGTACTCTCCACCACAAATCAACAGAATATACATTCTTTTCAGCATCACACCACACCTATACCAAAATTGAACACATAGTTGGAAGTAAAGCACTCCTCAGCAAATATAAAAGAACAGAAATTATAACAAACTGTCTCTCAGACCACAGTGCAATCAAACTAGAACTCAGGATTAAGAAATTTACTCAAAACCACTCAACTACATGGAAACTGAACAACCTGCTCCTGAATCACTACTGGGTACATAACAAAATGAAGGCAGAAATAAAGATGTTCTTTGAAACCAAAGATAACAAAGACACAACATACCAGAATCTCTGGGACGCATTCAAAGCAGTGTGTAGAGGGAAATTTATAGCACTAAATGCCCACAAGAGAAAATGGGGAATATCTAAAATTCGCACCCTAACATCGCAATTAAAAGAACTAGAGAAGCAAGAGCAAACATGTTGAAAAGCTAGCAGAAGGCAAGACAGAACTAAGATCAGAGCAGAACTGAAGGAAATAGAGACACAAAAAGCCCTTCAAAAAATCAGTCAATCCAGGAGGTGGTTTTTTGAAAAGATCAACAAAATTGATAGACTGCTAGCAAGACTAATAAAGAAGAAAAGAGAGAAGACTCTTGCTATCTTAACAATGTCCTCAGGGGGTATTGTAACATATTTCCAGACACATCATCTAGGTTACATGACTTCCCTCTCCTGCCTGTGCCCAGCTCCCTATGGTAATTGTAGCATTTCTAAACACTACATCCAAATATGACTGTTTTGTCTGAGCTCTGTCAACAGGAAGTATTGTGACATATTTTTGGGCCAAAGATTTAGGTGATATGACTCTCCTCTTCTGCCTGGACATTCCCTACAAGGGACATTGTGCCACAGAGCTGGATCTAGCACACAACTTATGTGACATTTTTGACAGGGCCTGCCTACAAAGAGAATATTGGAATATGTATGGTCCAGCATTTAGGTGATAAGACCATTCTGCCTGCTTTATAACCACAGAGAATACTGTAACAGATGTCTAGGCATGGCTCACAGAAATGATAATATCTCTCATATGTGTACTCAGCCAATAAAGGATATTTTGACACTTAAAACTAGATTTAAGGACATGTGTGATGTCCTGTCTCACCTTCTTCTACAAAGGTCACAAAAGATTACAACACTCATACATATTTTAGAAGGTCTTTGGGTTATACAGACAGAGTCAAAGCAGGGCTCAGCACATAGGTGAAATTGTGAGTCTTGTATGCACACCCAGCTGACAGAAAGAAATGAACGAAAGGACTGGACACGGATGAAATTGTGACATATACCTAAAAAACATCTAGGTGTTATGACTTTCTATTTCTGCCTGAGCACTGCCTATTTGTGGCATTGGGCCATATCTCTGAGCCCATGACCTAAGTGATGTGAGTCTCTCATTCTGTCTAAGCCTTTACAATGGGAAGATTGTGTTGTGTTGATGAGCCCAGCACTTAGGTAACATGACTTTCATCGTATTGCCAAACAACACCCACAAGCAGGAATTTTGCTGTAGTTCAGAGCCTCACACCTGGATTATGTTACACTTATGCCTAGGTAATGCATAAAGAGAATTTCAGCATATTCCTGGGCCTAGCACACTTGTGATGTGACTCTCCTGCCTGTGCCAGAGCCAGAGAAGGTATTTTGAAATATCTTTGGCCCATTCCATAGGTGTTTTGGGTCTTCTCACTTTGCTCGGTTTCTTCTACATGAGATTGTGTCATATTGCTGGCTCCAGATCCCAGTTAATGTGACATTCTTTCCTACATCCTGCCTAGACAAGACATTGTGTCATATTTTTTGCTATAGCACCTAAGTGATATCAACTTTCTGCCTACTTTTTTGCCCACAAATTTGATTATGACATATACCTTTCTTCAGTTCAAAAGCCTGATGATCACGCTTCTATTGGGATTCAGCCAATAGGAGATATTTTGCCTTTCACGACTTTAGGTCAGTAGGTAAAATCCTTCACTGCATATTTGAACAAGCTTACAAAATTTTACAATACTAACTCATCTCACAAAAACTTACTGGGTGGTACAGAGAATTTCATAACAGCGTCCAGAAAAATGTTAATATCATGACTCCACAACACACTCAGGTGAAAGTAAAAGTTATTACCATCCTACATCTACAAAGCTCATTGTTGAGGTCCTGAGTCTAATAAGTAAATACAGCTCATAGATGAAATTGTAACTTTTATCAAAGAGTCTGGCCACAGGTGGGATGGTGGCTCAATTCTGGACCCAGCTCACAGGTCTAATAATGTTCTCATCCCTGAAACCATCATATAAGAGAGATATTGACTGTCATATCTGAGTTTAGTGCAATATATAAAATTGTGAATCCATATAAGCATGTAGGTCTCAGCGAGGTTTCAACTCTCAAGTATGTTGTATAAAGTTCTCAAATGTTGTATAGAGTTTCATACAATGGCCATCACCCACATGAGTTTGTGACTAACATATACACAACTAGGTAACAGTTAATGGTGTCCCCCTTAAAGTTGAGGAGATTGAGTCATACCCTTGGCCTGGTACACCTGTGTTGAGACTTTTTGGTTTAAATTGTTTTCCAGAAGAGCATTTTTACCTATCAATGGATTAGAATCATAATAATGTGACTCTTCTGCCTGAGGCCTGAAAACGGGATATTTTCACATATCTCTGGGACTATTGGCTAGGTAATATGTCTCTCCTGCCACTGCCCTTCCCATAGGAAACTCTGTAACATATTGCTAGATATAGCATCTAGGTAATGTGACTCTGCTCTCTTGCCTGGATCCTGCCCACTGAAGAAACTGTGACATATCACTGAGAGCAAAACCTATGTGACATTAATGTTGTCTTTGTCCTGGACTCTATCAAGAAAGGAAATTGTTACATGTTTCTGAGCCCAGCACCCAGGTGTTGTGATTTTCTTTTTTTCTGCAAACTGTTTACATTGGGCCTGGTGACATATTATACGTGAGGCTGTACCCAGGTGGTATGACTCTTCTGCCTGGTTTCTGCCCAGAAGTTAGATTCTGACATATAACTAGGGAAGCACCTAGTTGATATGACTGTCCTTTTCTTCGTGGGTCCTTCATACTGGGAACACTGGGATATATCTCTGAGCCCAAGACTGAAGTGAAATGACTCATTTCCTGCCTAGTCTTTACAATAAAGGGATTGTGACATATTGCAGAGCCCAGAACTCAGGTTATTTGACACTCCTTATTTTCTGGAATCATTCCTATCACCAGAATTTTTGGCCTATTGCAGGGCCCAGCACCCATGCAATGTTCCTCTTTTGCCTGGGTCCTGCACACAGAGAGATGTATGGCATATTGCTGGGGCCAAAACCCTGATAATTTCCTGTCCAGAACAAAACATTATCTCATGCCTCATGACTGTCCTGGAGCCACAGAAGGTATTTTGACACATCCGCGGCCCATCATATAGGTGTTCTGATTCTCATCTTTTGTCTGGGTTTCTTTCACAGCTGGGATGGTTTTGTATTGCTGAGTCCAGCACCAATTTAATGTGACTCTAATTTCTATACCTTGCCTAGGGAGGGCATTATGACATATTGCTTGGCACAGCACCAAAGAGATATTACCCTTCTGTGTAGTTTTTTGCCCACATATGAGACTGTGACATATACCTTACTTCAGATCACAGGCATGATGATGAAACTTATATTGGAATCAGCCAATAGGAGATATTTTGCCTTTCATCACTAGGCTTAGGGCAATAGATAAGGTTCTGGTTTGCATATTTGTATGAAGCTCACAGAACTTTACAACAATAACTCATAACGTATAATCTCTTTGGGTGGTACAGAGAGTTTCAAGAGAAGAACCAGTAAAATGTTCAGATTGGGGTTCTTGATTATGTACCCAAGTGAAAGCAAATGTTGTTTCCATCCCACATGGCCAAAGCCCAGAATTATGGTCCTGAGTCTAAAATGTAAATACAGTATGAAGTTGGAATTTTGACCTTCCTCTGTGGATCTGAACACAGGTGGGATGCTGAGTCATTTTTACGTCTAGCTCACAGGCATGATAATGGATCTCATTCCTTAACCCAGCCTACAGGAGAGATATAAAACCTAGGTTTAGGGCAATAAGTAAGATCTTGAATCTATACTAGCATGTAGGGGTCAGAGTGGTTTGCCACTCTCATGCATGCTGTATAAGACCTTCAAATGTTGTAGAGTGTCATACAACAGCCCAGGAAATGTGCAATTGCGACTCTCATATACAAACCCAGCCCACATTTAATGTTGTCAACATCAAAGTCAAAAATATTTGGCATATTACTAGGCCTAGTACCCAAGTGTTGTGACCTTTTGGATTAAATTTTTTTCCCACGGGTGCATTGTGACATATCACTGGGTTACAATTATAATAATGTGACTTTTCTGCCTGGGCCCTGCCAGCAGGGCAAATTATCTCATATCTCTGGGCCTATAAGCTAGGTGATTTGTCTCCCCTCCCTGTGCACTGCCATCAGAAGACATTGTGAAATATTGTTTGGCTTAACATCTAGGTTATGTGATCTCTTCTCTGGCCTGGGTCTGCTCACCAAAAAAGTTCTGACATATCGCTGATTGCAAAACCTAAGTGATGTGACTCTTCTTCATATTCTAGACTGTGCCAATCAAGGGGATTATTGCATATTGCAGAGCACAGCACCTATGTGGAGTGACTCCCCTTTTTCTTCTTTCCTGTCTACGTTGGGCTTGGGAACATATTATTTGAGGCTATACCCAGGTGATGTGACTCTTCTGAATAGGCACAGCCTACTAAGGAGATTATACTCAGCACCCAGGTGATGTGACTCTCCTGCCTTTTCCCTGTTCTCAGGTGGAATTGTAACATATATCTTGGTTAAGCACACATGCACAATAATAACTCTTGTACTTGGACTCAGACAATAGAGTTACTTTATCTCTCAGATCCAGTCTTAAACCCATGGGTAAAATACTGGATTTTTCACTTTTACAAAGTTCATGAAGGATTATAACACTCAGTGTATCATATGAAGTCTTAATGGTACAAAGAGTGTCATAACAGAGAACAGCAATGAGAGGTGAATGGGACTTTTGTATGCACACCTAGCTGAAATGTTTGTCATTCTCACACAGAACAGGGCCTAGGAATGAGGTACTAAATCTCACATATAAAAAGCAGTCAAAAGATGAAATAATTACTCTCATTCAGGAATCTGATTCACAGGTGGTTTTGTAACATTTGAACCATGATTAAGCACACTGTGGTGCTCTGATTCCCCTGCTGGAACACAGTTTTCAAGTGGGATTGGGGATCTTATACATGGATCTGGTTCAATGTTGAGATGGTGACTCCTTACTTCAACCCAGCTCATAGAAAGAATTGACTCACATAAACAAAACTAGGACTTGTGTGGGATGTAAAACTTATTTCTGAACCTTCCTGAGAGTATGATTCGGACAAGGTAACTTTGCTCAGCACATGAATAATTTGATTATCTTTTCTTGACCCAGACCACAGAATAAATTGTACCATATGTGAAACAGGCAACTAAGAAATAGATCACCTCTTTCATGGCTCTGCCTACAATGGGAACCTTTATGTATCACTGGGACCATCACCCAGGTGATGTGAGTTATCTGCATGAAACCTGCCTACAAAAAGAATTGTGTTTTATATCTAGGTCCATCACATAATGGTCGTGGCTCCCTGACACTGCCTTGGCATAACTTGGCAGTAGCTAACTTGGCAGCACATAACTACATACTGCACACTGGTGATGTGATTCTTCTTTTTGTGTTCTGCCAACAGGAAGCATTGTAACATGTCACTTGCCTCAGCGTCTAGGTGATGTTCCTTGGTTTTTGCCTGTACCTTGATCACAGGGAGATTGTGACATAAAGCTGGGCTGAGCACGAACGTGAGGCCACTCTCCAGCTTTAGTACTGCACAGAACAGACATCGTGACATATCTAGGCCAATCACCTCGACTAAGTGTGGCTCCTTTCTTACCAAAGTCCTGCCCAGAGAGGGGGTTTTGATATGTCACTGAAATCAGCATCCAGGTGACATGACTCCTCCACCAGGGTCCTTCTCACAAGGTGGATTGTGACATCTCACTGGAACTGCACCCACTTCGGTGATGGGACTTTCTTTTTTTTTTTTTCTCTCTTGCCACAAGTGATATTGTGCCACATACCAAAGATTATAACAGAAGCCTAATAACAACTCATATGCCTGGAGCCCAGGACTTGTGCATTATAGTGGCTCCTAGTCTTAAGTCTTTCCATGAGAGTAATTGTGACATATACCTTTGTGCAACTACTGAGTAATTTAATAATTCTGCCTAAGTATAGCCCATAAATAAGATTTTGACAGATTCATTGGCCAAGCACCTTGGTGCTTTGACTGAGGTATCTTAAAAATGTACTCAGAGGAGATTGTAACATATTCCTGGACTCTTCATCTAGGTTACATGACTCCTCTTTTGCCTGTACCTTGCTTCCTTTGGTACTTGCAGCTTTTCTAAACACTGCATCCAAATGATTTGACTCCTTGCCTGGGACATGTCAACAGTAGGCATTTTGACATATTTTTGGGCCCATCATTCAGGTTGTATTACTCTCCTCTCCTGCCTGGACACTGCCCACAAGGGACATTGTGCCACAGAGCTGGATCTATCACACAAGTTTTGTGAGATTTCTGATAGGACACTGCCTACAAAAAAAAAAAATTGAAATATTTCTAGCTCAGCAATTGATGATGTGGCTGTTCTGCCTGCTTCACAACAACAGAGGGAATTGTAAAATATACCTCAGCATGGCTCACAGGCATAATAATGACTCTCAAATGTGGACTCAGTAAATACAGAATATTTTGACCCTTATAAGTAAGTTTAGGGACATGTGCGATGCCCTGGATCTCCTTCTTGTACAGCTGTCACAAAAGATGACAACACTCACGTATATTTTACAAAGTCTGTGGACTATACAGACAGAGTCAAAGCAGGGCTCAGCACTCAAGTGACATTGTGAGTCTTGTATGCACACAGCCAGCTGAAAGTGAGGACTATTATCATCTCACATGGATGAAGGTAACTGTCACACATGAAAACAGGACATGTGTGGTATTGTAAATCTTATCTTTGGAATTTTCTGACAGTGTGATTGTGATATAAATCTTTGCTAAGCACCTGTGTAATTTGACTCACAAGATTTGTTCCAGCCCACATATGGGATTATGATACCTACCAAGGCCAACATCGAGGTGATATGACTCTCCTGCCTGGTCGTATCTTTCAGTAAAGATTGTGACATGTCCCTGGGTCTAGCATCTTGGTGATGTCACATACTTTCCTATGCCAGGTGCCCCAAAATTGTTGTGACATGTTTCTGTGTCCACCACACAGTTGATGTAAGTCTTCTCTCTGAAATGGGTTCTGTACAACAGAAGGATAGTGACGTATTTCGAGAACAGGCACACAGGAAAGGGTATTCGTTTGCCAGTGGATCCCCAAAGGAGGGCATTGTGACATATGTCTGGGCCTATCACCTAGGTTCTGTGACTCTCCTCCTTGGGCTTTTCCAACCTTAAGAGTTACATATTTCTAGCCCAGGCACACAGGTGATGGTATTCTTTTGCCAGGGCTCTGCTTCATAGTGGACATTGTGGCATATCTCTGGGCCTATCATCTGGGTGAAGTGACGGCCTCCTTGAGCCCTACACATATGGGGCATTGTGGCATAATCAGAAAACTTGCATCTAGTGTGATATTTCTCTCTTGGCTGGGTGCTGCATTAAGAGAGTCTTTGACATGTCTTGGGACACAGCCCCCAAGTGATGTTGCTATTCTGCCTGGTTTTTTTCCACATATTACATCGTGACATATTCCTAGGGAAGCACATATGTGATATGCCTCTCCACTTCTACCTGAGCCCTGTCTACTGGGACATTGGGACATATCTCTGAGCCCATGACCTAAATGATGTGACTCTCCTTTTCTGCCTGGGCGTTCATAACAGGATTTTGGAACATTGCTGAAGCTAGCACTTAGGATATGTGACTCTCTCCTTTTACCCAAACCTGGCCCACAGGAAAGAAATTTTGACCTATTGCATTGCCCAGCACCCAGATGCTGTTAATCATCTACTGGAATCTGCATAAAGAGCTAATTATGACATATTTGCATATTGCTGGTCCCAGCACCCTTATGATGTGACTTTCCTGCTTGTGCTGGAGCTACTGTAGGTATGTTGACATATCTTGGGCATATTATTTAGGTATTTTGGCTCTCATAACTCAGCTGAGTTTTTTCCACATGTGGGATTGTATCATATTGCTGGGTCCAGCATGCAGTTAATGTGACTCAATTTCCTATACCCTGCCTAGAGAAGACATTGTGACATATTTCCTGGCACAGCATCAAAATGATCTTACACTCCTGCCTAGTGTTTTGCACACATATGTAATTATAATATATACCTTACTTCAGTTCACAGCCATGATGATCAAACTTACATTGGGATTCAGCCAAAAGAAAATATTTTGCCTTTCATTGTTAGGCTTGTTGAAATAAGTAAGGTCTTGGGTTGCAAGTTTGTACCAAGCTCACAGAAGCTTACAGCACTAAATTATATTGTATAAGCTCTTTTGTGGTAGAAATTTTCATAACGTGGTCCAGCAAAAAGCTCAGATTGGGACTTTCTATTACACACCCAGGTGAAATTAGAAGTTGCCACCATCTCGCATTACAAAGCCAACTGTTGAGGCTCTGAGTCTTAAACCCTCACACAGGGGTTTATGAAATGTCACTAAAAGGAGCTTCCAGGTGATGTGACCCTTCTCCCAGGGTCCTGCCCACCAAGGGAATTGTCACATCTCACTGGACCCGCACCTACATAGGTGATGTGACTTTCTTGCCTTCTCTTTGACCACTGGAGATATTGTGCCATTTATCTGAGGCCATAACAAAAGCCTAATAAGAACTCATAAGTCTGCAGCCAGGACATGTGCAGGATGGTGTGTCTTATTCTTAAACCTTTCCAGAAGTGTAATTGTATATACACCTTTATACACTACCTGAGAAATTTAATAATTCCATGTAAGTATAGCCCACAAATGAGATTTTGACAAATACCTGTGTCAAGCACCTTGTCGATATGACTGTGCTACCTTAACAATGCTTTCAGGGGAATCACCACATATTTCTGGATGTATTATCTAGGGTACATGACTCTCATCTTTGGCCTGTACCCAGGTTCCTTTAGTAATTGTAGCATTTCTAAACATTGAATCCAAATGACATGACACTCTCTTGTGGACTGTCTCAATAAGAGGGATTTTGACATATTTTTGGGTTCAGCTTTTATGTGACATGACTCTCCTCTCCTCTCCTGTCTGGATACTGAGCACAGTGGAATTTGTGCAACAGAGCTGGATTTAGCACACAAGGTATGTGATATTTTGGACAGGAGACTCCCTGTAAACAGAATATTGGAATATTTCTGGCCCAGCATTTAGGTGACATGGCTGTTCTGCCTGCCCCATAACCACAGAGGGAATTTGTAACATACACCTAGGCATGGCTCAGAGGAATAATAATGACTCTCATATGTAGATTCAGCCAATAGAGGATATTTTGACTCTTATAACTCAGTTTAGGGACATGCATGATGTCCTGGATCACTTTCATGTACAAACATCACAAAAGATTACAATGCTCAAATATGTCTTACAAAGTGTTTGGGTTATATAGACAGAGTCAAAGAAGGGCTCAACACAGAGATGAAAGTGTAAGTCTTCTATGCACACCCACCTGACAGTAAGAATTGCCATTATCTTGCATGAAGTCAACTGTTACACATGAAAACAGGACTTGCGAGTTATTGCCAACTTTATATTTGGAATTTTCTGACAGTGGGATGGTGATCTTTGTCAGAGACCTGTATAATTTGACTCTCCAGACTTGCTCAGGTCCATATATGGGATTGTGATATACACCTAGGCCAAACTCGAGGTGATGTGACTCTCCTGGTCTCCTGATGTGACTCCTGATGTGACTCTGGGCCCTTCTCTCATTAAGTGTTGTGATATATCACTGGATCTAGTATCCATGTGATGGTACAGTCTTTCCTGAGCCACGCTCACCAAAATTATTGTGGCATATTTTTGTGTCCACCATATAGGTGATGTAAATCTCCTCTCTGGAATAGGCCTTGCACAAAGGAAGGGTAGTGATAAATTGCAAAGCCAGGCACACAGGTGGGGATACTTTTGCCAGAGCAATGCCCAAAGGAGGGCAGTTTGGCATATCTCTGGACCTGTCACCTAGATAATGTGGCTCTCCTACTTGGTTCTTGCCATCCTGGAGAGTGACATATTTCTAGGCCAGGCACACAGGTGATGGTACTCTTTTCCCAGGGCTATGGTAACCCAGGGCTTTGCTTCATAGAGGACATTGTGATATATCTCTGGCCCTGTCACCCAGTTGGTATTACTCAATGCTTTGGCCTCAATGAGATAGAACATTGTGACATGAAAATGAAACCTGCACCAAGGTGATGTAACTCTTTCACCTTGTTTCTGTTCTAAGGGGGACTTGGGACATATCATAGAACCTA
The DNA here is from genome assembly GCF_000001405.40 of Homo sapiens. NCBI lineage: Eukaryota > Metazoa > Chordata > Mammalia > Primates > Hominidae > Homo > Homo sapiens. The sequence continues at coordinate 8,040,916 of NC_000024.10, forward strand.
GCACACAGGTAATGTGGCTCTTCTGCCTGTTTTCTGCCCATGTGTCAGATTTTGACTTATACATAAAGAAGGATATAGGAGATATTACTCTCCCTTTCTGAGTTCTCCCTACTGAAGATATTGGGATCTATCTCTGAGCCCATGACCTAAGTGATATGACTCTCTTTCCCTGCTTCACCCTTCAAAATGGTGGGATTGTGGAGATATTGCTGAGACTAGCATTTAGGTCATGTGAGTCTACTGTTTGATGAAATTGTGACATATGTAGAACATATACCTAAGCAAAGGTGCCTGGACCTGCCTATTAATTGCACTTTTACATATCACTGGGACCAGTACACAGGTGAGGTAAATTATTAGCCTTATCTCTGCCTATAAAAGACATTGTGGCTTATATCTAGGTCTATCATGCAAGTGATGTGACTTCTACTTCCTTTTCTGTGCACTTACGGTGCATTGTGACACATAACTGGGTAGTGCACCCAGGTGATGTGACTCTCCATTCCTGTTCTGCCAACAGGAAGCTTTGTAATATATCACTTGGATCAGCACATAGGTCCTGTTTCTCCTCTCTTGCCTCACCCTGACAGCAAGGGAGATTTTAACATATTACTAAACCCAGTGCCAAAGTGAGGTCACTTTCATACCTTGGTTTTGCAAATAACAGTCATTGTGACATATATCTAGGCCAATTGCCTAGGTAAAATGAATCTCCTCAACTTCTTAAGGCCTGCCCAGAAAATGAATTTTGATATATCACTAAAACCAGCATCCAGGAAATGTGACTCTTCTTCCAGGGTCCTGGACACATGAAAGATTGTGACATCTCACAGGACCAGCACGCACCCAGATGATGTGACATTTCTGCTTGCTCTCTGCCCTTAGATGATATTGTGCCATATACTTGAGACGAAATAAGAGGACTAATTGTGACTCTTAAACCTTAAGCCAGGTCATATGCGAGAAGGTGACTCCCATTCCTGAAAGTTTCCACCTGTGTCATTGTGATATATACTATTTCCCAGTTCTTCAACTTAATTATCCTACCAAGGTGTATCCCACAAATTAGATTTGGATATATACCTCAGCTGAGTACGTTGGTGATTTGACTCTCCTATCTTTACAATATGCTTTGGAAGGATTATAACATGGTTCTGGACCCATCATCTAGTTATCTGACTCTCCTCTCTTGCCTGGACCCTTCTTCCACCTGGGATTGTACCATTTCTAAGAACTGCATCCAAGTGGTCTGACTCTCTTGCCTGGTTCTTTCACATGCAATATTGTGACACATCTCTGGGCCTAGCATTTCAGTGATATGAGTCTCTTCTTCTGTCTCGACATTGCTCACAAGAGGCATTGTGCCATACACTGATAGGGGCCATACACCTGACAGTGTAACCCCCACGTTATGCAACTTTGCTGACAGTAACTTGCCAACAAGGAGAATATTGGAACACTTCTGGCTCAGTGCTTGGTGTACTTGGCTGTCATGCCTATTTCATTACCACACAGTAAGTTGTTACATACACCTAGGCACAACTCACAGGTATGATTATGACTGTCATATGTGGACCCCAGAAATTTGAGTAATTTTAAATTTCATAACTTGCCTCAGAAACAGGAGTGAATGAATCACTTTCTTGTAAAAAAGGACAAAGAAGATTTTAACAGCCTAGGATATTTTATAAAGCCCTTGGCTTGTACAGAGATTATAATAATGGAACCCAGTAGAAAGGTGAAACTTTGAGTCTCATATGCACACCAATCTGACCATAAGGACTGTCATCATCTCATATATATAAAGCCAAATGTCATTCATGAAAATAGGACATGTGTAGTATTTTAAATCTCATCCTCATAATTTTCTGCCAGTGTGTTTGTGATATAAATCTTTGCCAGCTGAGCCACTGTATTATTTGACCCTTCAAACTTGCTCCAGCCCACAAAGTTATTTTGATATCTACCTGGGCCAAATTCTAGGTGATGTAATGCTTTGTCCTAGGCCCTGCTCTCAGTAAGAATTATGCATATCACTAGATCCAGCACTCAGGTCATGTTACATTTTTGCCTGAGTCATGTGCACAGAAATCACTGGGACATATCACCGTGTCAACCACTTAGGTGACATAACTCTACTCATTAGAATGGGCCTTGCACACAGTGGGGAATAGTAACTTGCCTGGGCCAGGCAAAGAGGTCACAGTATTATTTCGCTAGGGCCCTGTCCTAAAGAGGGCATTTGACAAATCTCTGGGCCTATCAGCTAGGTGATGTTGCTCTCCTGTTTGGGTCCTGCTTACCTGAATAGTGACATATTGCTAGGCTAGTTACACAGGTGATGGTGCTCTTTCACCAGGGCCATAACTCAAGGAGGACATTGTGATATATCTCTGTGCCTATCAGCTAGATGGTGTGACTCTGTGCTTGAGCCCGACCACATAGAACATTGTGATTTAAGTGTAGAACCTGCACTCATTTGCTGTAACTCTCTAGCCAGGTTCCTGTCTTAAGGGAGACTTGTGATGCATCTCCAGACCAAGCATCTTCTGCCTGGCTTCACCTAACATGTTAGATTATGCCATAAACCTAGGGAAGTACCAACGTGATATGACTCTTCTGTTATGCCTGAGTCTTACCTACTTGGGACATTAGACTATATATCTGAGGCTGTGTCTTAAGTAATGTGACTATTTTCTTTTGCTTGTTTGTTTTGTTTTGTTTTGTTGTTTGTTTTTACAATGAGTTGATGTAACATATTGCTATGCCAAATAATTAGGTAATATGACTCTTCATTTTTTAACAAACTGTGGCCATAAAAAGGAATTTTGATGTATTGCTGGGCCCAGCACCAAGATGTTGTTCCTCTTCTGACTGGGTCCTGCGTAAAGATAGAATTATGGCATACTGCTGATGATCTAACTCTCCTGATTCTGCCAGAGCAACAGAAAGTATTTTTACATACCTTGGGTCAATTCTGTAGGTGGTTTTGCTCTCATTATTTTTCTGGGTTTGTTTTATCCACATTTGGGATTGTCTCATATTGCTGGGTCCAGCACCCAGTTATTGTAACCCGCATTCCAGACCCTGCATAGAAAGGGCATTGTGACATATTTGCTTGGCACAGAATGTAAGTTGTTCTACCCTCCTGCTATTTTTTTCTACAAATGGGTTTATGAAATTTACATTGCTTCATTTCAGAGGTATGATTATCAACTGAAATTGGAATTCTACCAATAGCAGATGTTTTGTCTCTCATCACTACACTACAACTTTGAGTTGCAAATTTGAATAAAGCTAACAAAAGTTTAAAATAGTAACTCATACTATATAAAATCCTTGGATGGTACCTAGAACTTTATAAAAGGGCCTAGCAAACAGTTAAAATCGTGGCTGTTGTTTACACATTCAGGTGAGAGCAAATGTTGTCATCATCTCACATTTACAAAGCTCAGTGTTGAAGTCCTGAGTTTCAAATATAAATAAAGTAAAGAGATGGAATTGTGACTTTTGTATGTCGATTTTGATACAGGTGAGATGGTGACTCATTTCTGGACACAGATCCGGGACATAATAATGAGCGATCCTGTCTAAACCCAGCCTATAAGAGAGATGAGGACTATCATAACTGGGTTTATAGCAATATGTAGGATTGTGAGTTAATGTGAGCATGTAGGCCACAGAAAAGATTGCAACTCTCATGAATGTCGCATAAAGCTTTCGGCTGTTGTAGAGTGTGTTGTATGATGACTCAGAACACACATGACATTGCACCTTTTATATACACACCAAGCTAACAATCAAAGACATCACCCTAATACATGAAGAGGTTGTGTCATATCACTGGGTCCAGTACCTCTAGGTATTGAGAACTTTCGGTTAAATTCTATTTTCATGGGTGCTTTGTGAAATATCCCTGTGTTAGATTTGTAATAATGTGACTCTTCTGCTTGGACCCTGCCAACAGTGGATATTGTCAAATATCTTCATTCCTATCAGCTAGATGGCGTGTCTCTCCTGCCAGTTCACTGTCCACTGGGATACTGTGACCTATTGTTAGATATTGCATCTAGGTAATGTGAATCTACTTTCCTGCCTGGATCCTGCTCTCTGAAGAAATTGTGACATACCACTGAGTGTAAAACCTAGGTGATGTGACTCTCCTCTTTATCCTGGACTCTGCCAAGAGGGGAATTATAACATATTGCTGAGCCCTGTACCAAGAGAATGTGACTATCCACTCTATTTTCAACCCTGTATATGGTGGGCATGATTGTATATTATCTGAGACTGTGCCCAGGTGATATGACTCTTCTGACTGGATCCTGCCTACAATGGACATGATAATCTATCCCTGGATCAGAACCCAGATGATGAGACTCTTCTTTCTTGTCTCTGCCCGAAGCTGAAACTGGGACTTATAGCTGGCTTCAGCTCATATGCACAATAATAAATCTCATAACTAGACCCAGTCAGGGAAGGTTTTTTGACTCTCATAGCCAGCCTTACCGCCATGGGTAAAGTCCAAGATCACCCACCTGTAAGAATTCACAGTAACATATTCTATTTAGGCATATCACATAAAGCCTGAGTGGTACAAAGGGTGTCATAGCAGGCAACAGATACCAGGTGCTACTGTGACTCTTGGATTAACACTCACCTGATACAATTGTTATTCTCACACATTAACAGAGTCTACATATGAGGTACTAAATCTCACACATATAATCAGTAGAAGCTTGAAATTGTTGCTTTCATGCATGAATCTGATCCACAGGTTGTTAGGTGACTTTTGAACCATGATTCAGCAGAACAGTGGTGCTGTGACTCTCCCACTGGAACACAATCTTCAGGTGGGATTGGGACTCTTATACATGAATCTTGCTTATTGTTGAGATTGTGACTACCATACTTTGACCCAATTCACAGGAGGTGTTGACTTTTATCAACATCTGAGTGATTTAACTATGTTTCTACACCCAGGGCACAGTTGAAATTGTGACATACATGCACCAAACACCTAAGCAATGTATGACACTTTTTTCACCATGTGACAAAGGGCACTTTTACATATCACTGTGACAAGCACACAGGTGATGTGAAATCTTGCCCTGACGCCTGCCTAAAAACAGCACTGTGGCTTTTATCTAGGTTCATCACATAAGTGATGTGACTGCTTCCTTCTACCTTGGCCCTGCATTTACAATGCATTGTGACACATAACTGGGCACTGCACTCAGATGATGTGACTCTTTTTGTGGGGGCTTTGCCAATAGGAAGCTTTTTTATATATTCCATGGCTCAGTATCTAGGTAATGTTTCTTCTCTCTTTCCTGGGCCCTGACCAGCAAAGAGATTGTGACATGTGGCTGAACCCAGCACCAACATTAGGTCACTCTTCTGCTTTGGTTCTTCACATAGCAGCTTTTGTGACATATATTCATTCCAATTGCCAAGATGAAGTTTTCCTACTGTTCTTCCTAAGCCTTGCCTACAGGGGGCATTTACATATATCACTGTAACCAGGATCCAGGTGATGTGACTCTTCTTCCAGAGTCCTGCCCAAAAGTAGGATTGTAACATTTCACTGGACTAGCACCCACACAGATGATGTGACTTTCCTTTCTTCTCCCTGCCACGGATGATATTGTGCCATATACCTGAAACCAGACCAAAGCCCTAATAATGACTCTTGTACCTGGAGACAGGACATGTGCAGGGTGGTGACTCTCATTTCTGAACATTTCCACAGTTGTTTTTGTGACACATACCTTTGCCCAGCTCCTTTGTAATTTAATAGTCCTTTTTACTTATAGCCCACAGATTATATTTTGACACATGCCTGGGCCAAGCACCTTGGTAATTGGATTATCCTGTCTAAAAGTGACCTCAGAAGGGATTGTAACATATCTCTATACTTATCACATAAGATATGTGACTCTCCTCTCCAGTCTAAACCCTGCTTCCATTGAAGATTGTAGCATTTCTAAGCACTGCATCCAAATGGCATGACTCTCTGGCCTGAGCCTTTCAACACGAAACATTGTGATGCATCTCTGGGTCCATCATTTATCTTATATGACTCTCCCTCTCCTGTCTGGCCTTCTTCCTCAAGGGCCATTTTGCCATAGAGCTTTGCCTAACACCCAAGTTTTGCTAATTTTCTGTTAGAGTCTTGCCTTTAAAGAGAATATTGGAATATTTCTGGCTCAGGATTTAGGTGATGTGGTTGTCCTGCCTGTTTAACCACAAGAGAGTGGATGGTGACTTATACTTAGGCACAGTAACAGGCATGATAATGACTCTTATATGTGAACCAAGGCAATAGGAGAAATTTTGACTCTTATAACTATGTTAGGGACATGAGTGTTGTCCAGGATCACCTTCTGGTAAGAAGGTCACATATCATGACAACACCCAGACATATTATCACACCCTTGGTTTGTATAAAGAGTATCATAACAGGTCCTAGCACACAGAGAAAATTTTGAGTCTCATATACACACCCAGTTGCCAGTAAGGGCTTTCATCATAACAGATGGATGAAGGCAACTCTCCCACATGAAAACAGGACATGTGTGGTATTGTATATCTTATTACTAGAATTTAATTCCATCATTACTGTGACATAAATTTTTCCCAACGACCTGTGTGATTTCACTCTTCAGACTGTTTCCAGGCTACATATGGAATTTGGATATCTACCTGAGCCAAACTTGAAGTGATGTGACTCTTCTACCTGGGCCCTGCTCTCAGTAAGATTGTGATATTACTGAATCCACACTCAGATGTGTCACATTCTTGTGACATATCTGTGTGCCCATCACTTAGAAGACAATACTCTCGTCTTTTGAATGGGCCCTGCACACAGGGCAGGACAATGACATATTCTTAGGCCAGACACAGAGGTAATGATAGTTTTTTTCTAGGGCCATGAAAAAAAGAGGGCATTTTGACATATCACAGGGCCTGTTATGTAGGTGATACGGCTCCTGTGCTTGGGAACTGCCCCCTTGAATATTAATATATTGCTAGGCCAGGCAAAAAGGTGATGGTACTCTTGCTAGGGCCATGCTTTAAGAAAGCCTTGTGACATACCTCTGGGCATGTCACCTATGTAACTTCTTGCTTGGCCCGGCCCACATGGAGCATTGTCACATAAGGGTGGAACTTGCATCTACTTGATGTAACTCTCTTGCCTTTGTCCTTTACTAAGGGGGTCTTGTGAATATCTCAGGACCCAGGATGAGGTGATGTGGCTCTTCAGATTGTTTTCCACTCACATATTAAATAGTGGCATTTACCTAAAGAAGTACCTAGGTGATATGACTCTCTTTTTCTTCCTGATCCCAGCCTACAGGTGACATTGGGTCATATCTGTGAGCCCATGATCTAAGTGATGTGACTTTCTTCTTCTGTATGGTCCTTTACAATGGGAAGATTTTGATATATTGATGAGCCTAGCACTTAAGTAATATGACTTGTCTTGTTGCTCAACAACACCCATGAACAGAAAACGTTTGCCATATTTCAGGGCCCAGCATGTGGATGATGTCACTCTTCTGCCTAGGTTATTAATAAGAAAAGAATTATAGCATATTGTTTGGCCAAGAACCATAATGATGTGACTTTCCACCCTGTGCCAGAGCCATGGCAGGAATTTTGACATATCCTTGACCCTTTCCATAGGTGTTTTGGCTGTCAACACTTTGCTGGGTTTCTTCTACGCATTCTTGTATCATATTGTTGGCTCCAGTCTCCAGTTAATGTGACCCTTTTTACTAGGTCCTGCCTAAAGAGGGCATGGCGACATATTTTGTGGCACAGCACCTAAGTGACATTAACATTCTGCCTAGTTTTTTTTGTTTTTTAACTTTAAGTTCTGGTGTACATGTACATAACGTGCAGTTTTCTTACACTGTTATGTATGTACCATGGTGGTTTGCTGCACTAATCAACCCAGCCCATGCATTAGATATTTCTCCTAATGTTATCCCTCGCCTAACCCCATGACAGGCCCCAGTGTATGATGTTTCCCTCCCGGTGTCCATGTGTTCTCATTGTTGAACTACCACCTATGAGTGAGTACCTGCTGTGTTTGGTTTTCTGTTCTTGTAATAGTTTGCTGAGAAAGACAGTTTTCAGCTTCATCCATGTCCCGGCAAAGGACATGAATTCATCCCTTTGTATGGCTGCATAGTATTTCATGGTGTCTGTGTGCCACATTTTTTTATACAGTCTATCAATGAACATTTGTGTTTGTTCCAAGCCTTTGCTATTGTGAATAGTGCCACAACTAACAAACATGTGCATGTGTCTTTATAGTAGCATGATTTATAATCTTTTGAGTATATAGTAATAGGTATATAGTAATAGGATTGCTTGGTCAAATGGTATTTCTAGTTCTAGATCCTTGAGGAATCACCACACAGTCTTCCACAATGGTTGAACTAATTTACACTCCCACCAACAGTGTAAAAGCCTTCCTATTTCTTTACATGCTCTCCAGCATCTGTTTCCTGACTTTTTAATGATTGCCTTACCTGGCATGAGATGATATCTCGTTGTGACTTTGATTTGCATTTCTCTAGTTAACAGTGATAATGAGCACTTTTTATATGTTTGTTGGCTTCATAAATGTCTTCTTTGGCGAAGTGTCTGTTCACATCCTTTGCCCACTTTTTGATGAGTTTTCTTTTCTTTTTTCTTGTTAATGTGTTTAAGTTCTTTGTATATTCTGCATATAAGCCCTTGTCAGATGGATAGATTGCAAAAAGAAAAATTCTTCTAGTTTGGAGGTTGCCTGTTCATTCTGATGGTAGTTTATTTTGCTGCACAAAAACTCATTAGTCTAATTAGATCCCATTTTTCTGTTTGGCATTTGATGCCATTGCTTTGGTGTTAAAACATGAAGTCTTTGCCCATGCCTATGTCCTTAATGGTATTGCCTAGGCTTTCTTCTATGATTTTTTATGATTTTAGGTCTTATGTTTAAGTCTTTAGTCCATCCTGAGTTTTTTATTGTACAAGTTGTAAGCAAGGGGTCCAGTTTCATTTATCTGCATATGACTTGACAGTTTTCCCAATACAATTTATTACACAGGAATTCTTTTCCCCATTGCTTGTTTGTGTCAGGTTTGTCAAAGATCAGATGGTTGTAGATGTATGGTGTTATTTCTGAGGCTTCTATTCTGTTCCATTTTTCTATGTAACTGTTTTGGTACCAGTACCATGCAATTTTAGTTACCATAGCCTTGTGGTATAGTTTGAAGTCAGGTAGTGTGATGCCTCCTTCTTTGTTCTTTTTGCTTAAGATTGTATTGGCTATGTGGGCTCTTTTTTTGTTCCATATAAAGTTTAAAGTAGTTGTTTTTTTCCAGTTGCATGAAGAAAGTCATTGGTAGCTTATGGAGATAGCACTGGTTGTGTGAATTACTTTCAGCAGTATGGTCATTTTCACGATATTCAATATTCCTATCAATGAGCATAGAATTTTTTTTTCATTTGTTTGTGTCCTCTCTTATTTCCTTGAGCAGTGGTTTCTAGTTCTCCTTAAAGAGGTTTTTCACACCCCTTGTATATTGTATTCCTAGGTATTTTGTTCTCTTTGTAGCAATTGTGAATGGGAATCCATTTATGATTTGACTCTCTCTTTGTCCATTTTTGGTATGCAGGAATGCCTGTAATTTTTACACATTTATTTATTATCCTGAGACTTTGCTAAATTTGCTTATCAGCATAAGGACATGTTGGGCTCAGATAATGAGGTTTTCTAGATATACGGTCATGCCAACTGTAAATAGAAACAATTTAACTTCCTCTTTTCCTACTTGAATAACTAAGTTTAGGGATCCCAAATGTCTTGGATTTCCTTCTTCTACAAAGGTTACAAACAATTACAAAAAGCACACATATTTTACAAAGTCTTTAGTTATACAGACAGAGTCAAACAGGGCTTGGTACACAGTAGAAATTGTGAATCTCATATGCACAACCAGCTGACAGTAAGAATTGTCATCATCTCATGTGGATAAAACCAAAACCAACTGTCATACATTAAATCAGGACATGTGGCATTGAAAATCTCACCCTTGGAATTTTCTAACAATGTGATTGTGATACAAATATTTGCCAAACACCTGTTTAATTTGACTCTCCAGGTTTGCTCCAGTGTATATATGGGATTATCATATATACATAGGCCAACCTAGAGGTGATGTGACTCTCCTGTCTGGGCACTTATTTCAGAAAGGATGTGATATATCACTGGATCTAGAACCTAGGTGATGTTACATTCTTGCCTGTGCCAGCCACATCAAAATTATTGTAACATATTTCTGTGTCTACCTCATAAGCTACGTAACTCTCTTCTCTGGAATGAGCCCTACGCAAAGGAATGATAGCAACAGATTGCAATACCAGGTGCACAGGGGAGGGTATTCTTTTGCCAGAGCCATGCACACAAAAGGGCATTGTGACATATCTCTGGGTGTATCAGGTAGGTGATGTGGCTATCCTGTTTGGGTCCTGCTAACCCTGACTATGATATCTTTTTGGCCAGGCACACAGGTTGTGGTACTCTTTCATCAGGGCTATGCTTCATAGAGGTCATTGCGACATATCTCTGGGCCTATCCCCTAGGTGAAGTGACTCCCTCCTTGGGTGCTACACATATGGAGGCCACATGGAGCACTGTGGCATAAAAAGAGAACCTGCACCTAGGTGATGTAACTATCTTTGCTGGGTGCCATCCTAAGAGAGCCTTGTGAAATATCTCCAAACCCAGCACTCTGGAGATGTGGCTCTTCTGTCTAATTTCTTCACACATTTTACATTGCAACATATTTCTAAGGAAGCACATAGGTGATATGACTCCCCATGTCTGCTTGAGCCCTGCCTACTGAGGACATTGGGACATATCTCCGAGCCCATGACCTAAGTGATGTGACCCTCTTTTTCTGCCTGTGCCTTCACAGTAGGAGGATTTTGGCACATTACTGATCCCAGCACCCAGAATATGTGACTCTCCTCCTTTTCCCAAGCCCTTCCCACAAAACAGGAATTTTGACCTACAGCAGGGCCCAGCAGTCAGATGATGTTACTCTCCTGCCTTGCTTCTGCATATAGAAGAACTTATGGCGTATGGCATATTGCTTAGCCCAGGACCATTATTATGTGACTCTCCTCCTGTGCTGTAGCCACTAAAGGTATTTTGACATATGTTGTGCTCTTTATTTAGGTATTTTGGCACTCATAACTTGGCTGGGCTTTTTCCACATGTGAGATGGTGTCATATTGCTGGGTCCAGCACCCAGTTAATATGACCAAATTTCCTACACCCTGCCTAGAGAATGCATTCTGACATATTGCCTGGCACATCATCTAAGTGATGTTACCCTCCTGCCTAGTTTTTGCCCACATATGGGATTATGACATTTACCTTGTTTCAGTTCACAGATATGATGTTCAAACTTATACTGGGATCAGCCAGTAGAAGACATTTTGCCTTTCGTTTTTAGTCTTGGGAGAATAGATAATGTCCTCGGTTTCATATATGCAACAACTTCACAGAAGCTTACAACACTAACTTACATCATATACCCGTTGGTGGTATAAAATTTCATAACAAGACCCAGCTAAAAGTTCAGATTAGGACTCTAGGTTATAAAGCCAGGTGAAATTAAAAGTTGTCACCATCCCACATTCACAATACCCACTCTTGAGAACAGGATTCTAATAAGAGAATACAGCACAAATTTGGAATTGTGACATTTATATGTGGCTCTGGCCACAAGTGGGATGGTCACTGATTTTTAGACCCAATCCACAGAAATAATAATGGGTCTTCTTCCCAAACCCTGCCTATAGGAGAGATGTTGACTATCAAACGTGGTTTAGGTTAATATGTAAGATTTTGAGTTCATACCAGCACGTAGGCCTCAGAGAGCTTTGTAACCCTTATGCAGGTTTTTTAAATCCCTTGCATGTTGCAGAGGGTAATATATTGTCCCACAAAGCATGAGAGATTGTCATTCTAGCATACACACTCAGCTAAAAGTTAAGGTTGTTACCCTCAAAGATGATGACATTGTGTCATATCACTGGGCCTAGAACCCAGGTGTTGAGACTTTTTAGCACAAATCCCTTTTCATGGGTGCATTGTTATGTATTGCTGGGTCAGAATTACAATAATATGATTATTCTACCTGAGCCCTGTCAACAGCGTATATTATCACATATCTCTTGGCCTATCTGCCTCCAGAAAAAAAAGAATTGAAATTTCACAGAAATTAGTGTCTAAATGGTGCAACTCTACTCTCCTGCCTGGGTCCTGCTTACCAAAGGAATTGTGACAAACAGTTGAATGAAAAACCTACATAGTATGTCTCTCCTCTTTATTCAAAATTTTATTTCTGTGCTGCATTCTGCTTCATTACTTTCATATTTTACCTTTATACTGGTACCAAAATGCTTTGATTACTTTAGGTTTGTTTTGTGTTTGGAAATGCTTAAGTGTAATGCTTCCACTATTTTTCTTCTTTTTAAAGATTGCCAGGATTTTCATGTAGTTTTGTGGGGTTTTTTTTTAATTTCTATTCTTGGGAAAATTTAATTTAAAATTTAAAATTAGCCTGTTGAATGTGTGGATCACTTTAAGTCACATGGACATATTTACAATATTATGTCTTCCAACCCTTGATAAAGAGCATGCTCAAAAGTGTGTTATTGGCCAGGCATGGTGTCTCATAATTGTGATCCCAGCACTTTGGAAGGCTGAAGAGGGTGCATGGCCAGATCAGGAGATGGAGACCATTTTGGCCAACATGATGCAATCCCTCATCTACTGAAATTCACGAAATTAGCTGGGCATGGAGGTGTGCACCTGTAGTTCCAGCTACTGGAGAGACTGAGGCAAGGGAATTGCTTGAACCTGGAAGTGGAGGTTGCAGTTAGCCGAGATCATGCCACTGCACTTCATCCTAATGACAGAGTGATACTGTATCTAAAAAGAAAAAAAAAACTGGGTTGCTATTTTTTATAATTTTTTTGAATTTTTCAGCTTTTCTTCCATTACTGATTTCTAGTTTCATTCCATTTGGGCTATAAAAAATTTTCAGTAAAATTTAAATTAAAAAAAATTGTTAAGGTTTCTTTTGTCAGTCACAGGTAATCCACGTAGAAAAATATTTTATAAACTATTTAAAAATGTGTATTCTGTTGCATATATGCATTTGTTAGGTATATATATTGTATAGTGCATTCAAACTTTTTGTTCCCTTATTGATATTCTGTCTTACTTTATTACTGTAAGTGGCATATAAATGTATTCTTCCATTATTATATTGCTCTCTATTTTTGCTTCAATTCTGTCAATGTTTGAATTATGTGTTTGGGAATATTCTCATATATTTATAGAATCTCAGTGAATGAACCCTCTTAATATAATTGAATGTCCTACTGTGTCTCTTGTGAATTTTGACTTGAAGCAAATTTTGTAAAATATGTCAGTTTTCAACTTAATAAATTGTTGCCTTTTCTCCTCTTATTTGGTTAACACTTGCATGACATGTATTTTTTATCCTGCCATTTTTAGTCTTTTTTTTATTAGGTCTGCAGTAAGTCTCTTGAAGACATGACATGGTTAGATCTTGATATAGATCATGATATAGCTCGTTTTTTTCTTTTTCATTTTAAAGGATACTTTTGCTGGATATAGTATTCTCATTTAGACTTTCTAAAAAGTAAAAATTTCTCATCAAAGTTTTCCTTCTTTTAAATAATAAATAATAAATCTTAGAAATAATATTTACTTTTGAAGATTAACTTTCTTCAAAGCCTTCTTATTTTCTGCTAATAACTCTTTATTAAGCTCTATTCTATGTAGCTGTTACATATAAGGGAATGAGTACATTCTATGTCCTTGAACTTTGACCAAGATGTTTGTTCTGTACATGTTGGAGTATGTCCCAGCTTGCAGATTATGCCCATTTCTCATTTGGGAATGTTATTACTTCTCTAAATTTTTTGCAAGCAACTTTCTCTTTTTCTTTGTTCTCCATTGTCTTTACCTATTTAGGGAACTTTTAGGTTGTTACCCAATCAGGTTTAGCTTAGACTGTGATGTCCAGCTCCAACTAGTGGAGATAGGACACAGAAGTAAGGACCCAAGGCATACAAGATAAATATTTCTGACTTTCTTTTTCATTGTGCTCTCATGACAGGATTGCTGATGAGCAGAACCCTGTCTGCAGAAAGTAAAACTGACTTGCTGAGAAAATTATTTGTCTGAGCACTAGTTCTACTTTTTGGTACCAAGAAAGAGGGATTTCTAAAGTATTTTTTTTCAATGTTTTAAGTATGTTATCCTGCTTCTTTCTTCCTGAAAGATTTATGTTCATAAACTTACTGGTAATCTTATAGAAGCACGTGTACAAATAACATATCTTTTTTTTCTTCCTGCATTCCAGATTCTCTTCTTCTGTGTGACTTTCAAAACATTGCTTATATGGGGTCTTGTTAGTAATTTTTTTGTGTTAATGTTAATTGAAACCTAAGCTGCTTCATTTTCTTTTTTAAAAATTTTTATTATTATTATACTTTAAGTTGTAGGTACATATGTACAACGTGCAGGTTTGTTACATATGTATACATGTGCCATGTTGGTGTGCTGCACCCATTAACTTGTCACTTAGTATTAGATATATCTCCTGATGCTATCCCTACCCCCTCCCAGGACCCCACAACAGTCCCCAGTGTGTGATGTTCCCCTCCCTGTGTCCCTGTGTTCTCATTGTTTAATTCCCACCTATGGGTGAGAACATGCGGAGTTTGGTTTTTTATCCTTGTGATAGTTTGCTGAGAATGACGGCTTCCAGTTTCACCCATGTCCCTATAAAGGACACGAACTCATCATTTTTTATGGCTGCATAGTATTCCATGGTGTATATGTGCCACATTTTCTTAATCCAGCCTATCATTGTTGGGCATTTGGCTTGGTTCCAAGTCTTTGCTATCGTGAATAGTGCCGCAATAAACATACGTGTGCATGTGTCTTTATAGCAGCATGATTTATAATCCTTTGGGTATATACCCAGTAATGAGATGGCTGGGTCAAATGGTATTTCTAGTTCTAGATCCCTGAGGAATCACCACATTGACTTCCACAATGGTTGAACTAGTTTACAGTCCCACCAACAGTGTAAAAGTATTCCTATTTCTCCACATCTTCTCCAGCATCTGCTGTTTCCTGACATTTTAATGATCACCATTCTAACTGGTGTGAGATGGTATCTCATGGTGGATTTGATTTGCATTTCTCTGATGCCCAGTGATGGTGAGCATTTTTTCATGTGGTTTTTTGGCTGCATAAATGTCTTCTTTTGAGAAGTGTCTGTTCATATCCTTCACCCACTTTTTGATGGTGTTGTTTGTTTTTTTCTTGTAAATTTGTTTGTGTTCATTGTAGATTCTGGATGTTAGCCCTTTGTCAGATGAGTAGGTTGCAAAAATTTTCTCCCATTCTTTAGGTTGCCTGTTCACTCTGATGGTAGTTTCTTTGGCCGTGCAGAAGCTCTTTAGTTTAATTAGATCCCATTTGTCAATTTTGGCTTTTGTTGCCATTGTTTTTGGTGTTTTAGACATGAAGTCCTTGCCCATTTCTATGTCCTGAATGGTATTGCCTAGGTTTTCTTCTAGGGTTTTTATGGTTTTAGATCTAACATATAAGTCTTTAATCCGACTTGAATTAATTTTTGTATAAGGTGTAAGGAAGGGATCCAGTTTCAACTTTCTACATATGGCTAGCCATTTTTCCCAGCACCATTTGCTAAATAGGGAATCCCTTCTCCATTTCTTGTTGTTGTCACGTTTGTCAAAGATCAGATAGTTGTAGATACGTGGCATTATTTCTGAGGGCTCTGTTCTGTTCCATCAGTCTATATCTCTGTTTTGGTACCAGTACCATGCTGTTTTTTTTTTTACTGTAGCCTTGTAGTATAGTTTGAAGTCAGGTAGCATGATGCCTCCAGCTTTGTTCTTTTGGCTTAGAATTGACTTGGTAATGCAGGCTCATTTTTGGTTCAATATGAGCTTTAAAGTAGTTTTTTCCAATTCTGTGAAGAAAGTCATTGGTAGCTTGATGGGTATGACATTGAATCTATAAATTACCTTGGGCAGTATGGCCATTTTCACGATACTGATTCTTCCTACCCACGAGCATGGAATGTTCTTCCATTTGTTTGTATACTCTTTTATTTCATTGAGCAGTGGTTTGTAGTTCTCCTTGAAAAGGTCCTTCACATCCCTTGTAAGTTGGATTCCTAGGTATTGTATTCTCTTTGAAGCAATTGTGAATGGGAGTTCACTCATGATTTGGCTCTCTGTTTGTCGGTTATTGTTGTATAAGAATGCTTGTGATTTTTGTACATTGATTTTCTTATATTTTTTAATAATGTTGAAGTGCATATTTGTCCTTTTTGTACTTCTACTACACAATTTTTATTTTTTGTGCTTTTTATCCTTTTGTTAATTTCATTTTGTTTTCTTTATTTCCATTTTTCTCATTAAGCATCATTCAGATGGTAATTTTAATTTCTTAGGGCAATTCATTTTTACCTGAAATGTGCTCAGGTAATTTTTACCTCTCAATTTGTTATTGCTGATTTCTGAATATTTATTTCGATCTTTCAATGAACCATATCATCTTAACGTAATGTATATGTTGTAATCTGAGGTTGCAATTTGTATGATAAAATACCACATGTGAAAATGCTTATTAGGTGGCATTTTTTCTGGGGGAATATGATACCAAATTTTAGGCTAGAGATTCTTGAAGTCTCCACACCTGGTACATTGATGTTTTCTCTAGGCTTGTGTGGTTTTTTTTTTTGTTAAAAAATATTCCCAATTTTTAAATTTTCTCTCTTTTTTGAGTTAAAATTTTACTCTTGTTACCCAGCCTGTGGTGCAATGGCATGATCTTGGCTCACTGTAACCTCCACCTCCTGGGTTCAAATGATTATCCTGCCTCAGCCACCCATGTAGGTGGGATTACAGGCACTTGTTACCACAACCAGGTAATTTTTGTATTTTTAGTAGACAAGGGCTTTCACCATGTTGACCTGGCTGGTTTTGAACTTTCGACCTCAGGTGATATGCCCACCTCAAACTCCCAATGGGCTGGGATTATGGGTGTGAGCCACCACTCCTGGCCTTTCTCTGTTTCATATTGAGATCCTGTAGTCAATTACTATATCCATTGTCTGTCTATGATACTGAAGTCTTTCTTGTAACAGTCATTTACCTTTGATCTCACTTGCCCCAAACTGTCAAAGAATACCACCTTTCCCTTAACACTGTCATAGAATATAGAAATTAGTCTTTAGTAAGTTGTCACATCACACATTTACAAAGCCCACTGTTGATGTACTGAATCTAACAAAAGAAAACAGTACAAAGGTGGAATTTCGACTCTCATGTGTGGATCTGGTCACAGGTCTGATTGTGACTCATGTATGGAGCCAGCACTCAGGCATAAAAATGGGTCTTATTCCTTAACTCAGCCTAAATATGAGACTTTGACTATCATACATGGTTTTAAGGCAATATCTAACATTGTGAGTCCATATGAGCTTGTGGGCCTCAGAGTAGTTTGCAACACTCATGCTTGTCATAAAAATTTCTCGGATGTTGAAAGGGTGTCATACAATGCCCCAGAACACATGTGACATTATGACTCTCATATGCATGCCAAGCTAACAGTTAAAGGTGTCACCCTCAAAGATGAGGAGATTGTGGCATATCACTTGGCCTAGTACCCAGGTGTTAAACTTTTACTTAAATCATTCCCCATGTGTGCATTGTGACATATTGTTGGGTCAGAATCATAATAATGTGACTCATGCCTTGGCCCTGCCAACAAAGGATATTACCACATATCTATGAGCCTATCAGCTAGGTCATTTGTCTATTTTGCCTGTGATTTGCCCAAAAGTAGCATTGTGATGTTGGTGGGCATAGCGTCTAGGAAATGTGACTCTCCTCTCCTGCCTAGGTCCTGCCCGTAAACTAATTGTGACATACTGGTGAGTGCAAAACCTAGTTAATGCAACTCTCCCTTTTATTATGGATTCTCCAAAAAAGGGGATTACTACATATTGCTGAGCCCAGCACCAAGGTGGTGTGACTCTCCCCTTTTTCTTCAAACTATGTCTACAGGGAACATGGTGCCATATTATTTGAGGCTGTACCCAGGTGATGTGACGCTTCTAACTTGGTCCTGGCTGCAAAGAAGATAATAATGTATCCTGAGCTCAGAACCCAGGGGGTGAGACCCTCCTGCCTTGTTTCTGCCCACAGGTGAAATTGTGACATATAGCTGGGTTCAACTCACATGCACTAATATAACAATCATACTTCGGCCCAGAGAGATATTTTGGCTCTCATAGTCAGTCTTATGGCAATAAGTAAAGTAATGGGTCATTTAATTGTATGAATTTCATAGAGGATTATGACACTCAGGTATACCATATAAAGCCAGAGTGATACAAACAGTGTTATAACAGGGAACAACAATCAGGTGCAGTTGTGACTCTTGGATGCACACCCAGCTGACCCCATTTTTATTCTCTCAAAAGAACAGGTACAATTAGGGTACTAAATCTCACACAGAGGTGCACTCAAAGGCCAGACATGGTGACTAATGCCTATTATTCCAGCACTTTGTGATATAAACCTAAGGCAAGCACCTGTGTGATTTCACTCTTCAGACTGGATCTAGCCTACAAATGGGATTTTGATATCTACCTGGGTCAACATTGAAATGATGTGACTTTTCTGCCTGTATCTTGCTTAGTAAGAATAGTGACATCACTAGATCCAGCACTTAGGTGAGGTTACATTCTTGCCTGCACCATGCCCACAGACATCCTTGTGACATATCACTGTGTCCATCAATTAGAAGACATAACTCTCCTCTCTGGAATGGGTCCTGCACACAGGGCAGAACGGAGACATATTTCTAGGCCAGGCACACAATATTCTTTTGCAAGTGCCATGCTCAAAAAAGGGCATTTTGACATATCATGGAACCTATCATGTAGGTGATATGGCTCTTCCTCTTGGGACCTGCCCTCTTGAATAGTGACATATTGCTAGGCCAGGCACAAAGGTGATGGCACCCTTATCAGGGTCATGCTTTAAGGAGGGCTTTGCAACATATCTCTGGCCTAGTTGATGTGACTTCCTGCTTGGTTCTGCCACATAGATCATTGTGACATAAGGGTGAAACCTGCATCTAGGTGATGTAACTCTCGTCTGGGTCCTTCTCTAAGGGTGACTTAAGAATATCTCAGGACACAGGACGAAATGATTTGGCTTTTCTATCTGGTTGTTCCAACATATTAAATTGTGACATATTCCTAAAGAAGCATCTAGGTTATATGACTGTCTTTTTCTGCCTGAGCCATGCCTACTGGTTGCATTAGGCCATATCTCTGAGACCACAACTTAAGTGATATGATTATTCTTTCTGGGCCTTTACAATGGGAATATTGTGACACATTGATGAGCCTAGCACTTAGGTAATATGACTCACATCGTCTTGCTGAACAAGGCCCACAAACAGAACTTTTGACATATTTCAGGGCCCAGCACCTGGATGATGTTACTCTTCTGCCTAGGACATGTATAAAGAGAAAATTATGGCATATTACTTGGCCTACCTGCTAATGATGTGACTCTCCTTTCTGTACCAGAGCCACAGAAGGTATTTTGACATATCTTTGTCCCATTCTGTAAGTGCTTTGGCTCTCATCACATTGCTGGTATTCTTCCACATGTGGTTGTATCAAATTTCTGGCTCAAGCTGTCAGTTAATTTGAGCCTAATTTTTAGGCTCTGCCTAGAGAAGACATTGTGGTATATTGCTTGGCAGAGCATCTAAGTGATGTTAACCCTGTGCCTAATTTTTTGCCCACAAATTGGATTGTGACATACACCTTGCTTCAGTTCAAAACATAATGATCAAGCTTATATTGGGAATCAGCCAATAGAAGATATTTTGCCTCTCACCACTAGGATTATGTCAATAGGTGAGGTTCTTCACTGCAAATGTGTACAAAGTTCACAGAAGTTTACAACAGTTATTCACATAATACAAACTTCTTGGGTGGGACAGAGATATTTATAACAGGATGCAGCCAAAAGTTAAGATTGTGACCCCAACAAGCCCCCTGTTGAGATCCTGAGTCTAACAACTGAATAAAGCACAAAGTTGGAATTGTGCCTTTCAGAAGTGAATCTGGCCACAGGTGGGATGGTGACCCATTCTGGACCAAGCTCACGGCATAATGATGGTCTCATCCCTGAAGTCAGCCTATAGGAGAGATGTTGACTGTCATACCTGGGTTTAGGGCAATATGTGAGATCATGAGTCCATATAAGCATGAAGAACTCAGAGTTTTGAAACTCTCATGCATGTTGTATAAAATTCTCAGATGTAGTAGAGAGTGTCACACAATGGGCAGCACACACGTGAGATTGTGACGCTTATATTCACAACTAACAATGATGTCACTCTTAAAGATGAAGCTATTGTGTCATATCTCTTGATCTAGTACCCCAGCGTTCAGTCTTTTTTGTTTAAATTCCTTTCTATAAGGGCATTATGGGTCAAAATCATGATAATATGTGTCTTCTGCCTGGGCCCTGGAAACAGGGGCTATTTTCACATATCTTCATTGTAACGCACGATTGAGTGCAAAACTTAGGTGACATGCTTCTCTTCTTTGTCCTGAACTCTGCCGAGAAAGAATTATTAAATATTGCTAAGTGCAGCAACCAGGTGATGTAATTCTCTTTTTTTTTTTCCTTTAACCCATCTACGTTGGGCATGGTGATCTATTACTTTAGGCTGTCCCTGCCTACTGGGGACATTGGGATACATCTCTGAGCCCATGGCATACATGAAATGGCTCTTTTCTTCTGCCTGGTCTTTGCACTGGGGGAATTGTGACATATATCTGAGCCTAGCACTCAGGTTATTTGACTCTCATTTTTTTCTCAAACCATGCCCACAAACAGAAATTTTGACTTATTGCAGAGCCCAGCACTGAGATAATGATACTCTTTTGCCTGGTTCCAGCATATAGAGAGAATTATGGCATACTGCTGGGCTCAGCACCTGGATAATGTGACCGTCATGCCTGTGCCAGAGCCACAGAAGGTATTTTGCCATATTCTATGCCCATTATGTAGGTGTTTTGACTCTCATCCCTTGGCTGTTTTGTTTGTTTGTTTGCTTGTTTTGTTTGTTTGTTTTTCACATGTTGGATGGTTCATGTTGCTGAATCTAACACCCATTTAATGTGACTCTAATTCCTATAATCTGCCTAGAGTGGGTATTCTGACATGATGCTTAACACAACTCCTAAGTGATGTTACCCTTCTACCTATTTTTTTGCCCACAGATGGAAATATGACATATACCTTAATTAGTTCACAGGCATAATTGTCAAACCTGTACTGAAATTCAGCAAATAGAAGATATGTTGCCTTTCATCACTAGGCTTAGTGGAATAGATAATGTCCTGAGTTGCATATTTGTACCATGCTTACAAAACTTTACAATACTAACTCATAATATATAAACTCCTTGGGTTGTACAGAGGCTTTCATGACAGGCAGCAGCAAAAAGTTTTGATTGGGACTCTCAATTACACTCCCAGATGAAAGCAAATATTCTCCCCATCCCACATGACCTAAGCACACTATTCAAGTCCTGAGTCTAAAAAGTGAATAAAATATAAACCTGTAATTGTGACATTCATATGTGGATCTGGCCACAGATGAGATTGTGACTCACTTCTGAATTCAGCTCACAGGAATAATAATGAGTACTATTCCTGAAAAGAGCCTACAGAAGAGATGTTGACTATTATGCCTGTGTTTAGGGCAATAGCCAAGATTGTGAATCCATACAAGCATGTAGGTCTCAGAGTGGTTTGCAACCCTCATGCATGCTGTATAAAGCCTTTAAATTTTGCATAGTGTCATACAATGGCCCAGGAATCATGGGAGATTGTGACTCTCATATACAAACCAAGCTCACATTTAATGGTGTCACCATCAAAGACAAGGAGATTTGTCATATTCCTAGGCCTAATACCCAGGTGTTGAGAATTTTTGACTTAAATTCCTTCCCATGGGTACATTGTGACATATCGTTGGGTTAGAGTAATAATAATGTGACTCTTCTGCCTGGACCCCACCAACAGGGGATATTATCACTTATCTCTGGCCCTGTAAGCTAGACGATTTATCTCTGCTGCCTGTTCTGTGCCCTCAAAGGACATTGTGAAATATTGTTTGACTTAACTCCTAGGTAATGTGACTGTCTTCTACTGCCTCGGTCCTGATAACTAAGGAAATTGTGACATATTGATTATTGAAAAATCTAGGTGATGTGACTCTCCTTCTTATTCTAGACTTACCCAAAAGAGAGGTTTATTACATATTGCAGAGCCCAGTAAATAGGCTGAGTGGCTCTTCTCTCTTTCTTCTTCCCTTTCTATAATGGGCTTAGTAACATACTATTTGAAGCTGCACCCAGGTGTTGTGATTCTTCTGAATAGACCCAGCCTCAAAATTAGATTATACTGTATCACTGGCTCAGCTCCCAGATGATGTGCTTCTCTTGCCTTGCCCCTGCTTACAGGTGAACTTGTGACATATTTCTGGTTTAAGCAAACATGCACAATAATAACTCTCATACCTGGACTCAGCCAGCAGTTTTATTTTTACTGCCATAGTCACTCACTCTCACTGTCATGGGTAAAGTCCTGTGTTTTTCACTTGTATAAAGTTCACTAATGATTATAACACTCAGGTGTATCATAAAAAGCATTGATGATAAAAAGAGTGTCATAACAGACACCAGCAGTGAGGTGAGAATGAGACTCCTGTATGCACACCCAGCTGAAACGATTGTCATTCTCACACATGAACATGGCCTGGGAATGAGTTATTAAATCTAACATATATAAAGCAGTCAAAGATTGAAATAATTACTTTCATACATGGATCAGATTCAGAGGTGGTTTGGTAACATTTGAACCATAATTCAGCACAGCTGTGGTGCTGTGACTTCCCTGTGGGAACAAAATCTTACAGTCAGATTGAGGTTTTTATAGATGGATCTTGCCGATTGTTGAGACTGACTCCTATACTTCAACCCAACTCATAGAAAGAGTTGACTCACATACACAAAACCACACAACTTGTGTGGAATGTGAAACTTATTTTTGAACTTTCTGAGAGTGTGTTTGAGTCAGGTAACTTTGCCCAGGACATGAATAATTTGACCGTCTTTTCTAGGCCCAGACAACAGATGAAATTGTGCCATATGAGGAACAAGCACCTAAGCAATATATAGCAACTTCCTTGGCTCTGCCAACAAAGGACACTTTCATATATCACTGGGACCATTACCAAGGTGGTGTGAATTATCATCCTGAAACCTGCCTACAAAGAGAATTGCTTCTTATATGTAGGTCCTTCACATAAGTGAAGTGACTCCCTTCTAGTTCTTTGGCCCTGCACTTACAGTGCATTTTGACATGTAACTGTGCACTTCACCCGCGTGATGTGATTCTCTATTTTGAGTTTTGTCCACAGGAAGCATTGTAGCATATCACATGGATTAGCACCTAGGTGATTTTTGTTTTGTTTTGTTTTTTGCTTTTGGCTGTGTCCTCACCACAGGGAGACTGTGATATGTTGCTGGGCTTAGTAACAACGTGAGGTCACTCTCCAGCCTTGCTACTGCATAAAAGGGTCATTGCGACATATACCTAGGCCAATTGCCTAGGTGAAATGAACCTCCTCTTTTGCCAAAGTCCTGCTTACACTGGGAGTTTTGATGTAACTGAAACCAGCATCCAGATTATGTGACTCTTCTGCAAGGGTCCTGCACACTAGGAGGATTGTATTGTTTCTCTGGACCCAAAAACCCTATGGTGATGTAACCTTTCATTTGTTGTCTCTGGACACAGGTGTTATTGTGTCATATGTGAGACCACAGCAGAAGCCAAATAACAATTCATATGCCTGAAGCCAGGGCATGTGCAGGATTGTGAGCCTTATTCTGAAATTTTTCCATAAGTGTAATTGTGACATTTACCTTTGCACAGCTCCTGAATGATTTAATAATTTTGTCTAGGTATAGCCCACAAATGAGATTTTGACAAACGCCTATGCCAAGCACCTTTGTGATTTGACTCTGTCATCTTAACAATGTCCTCAGGAAGGATTGTAACGTACATCTGGACCAATTGTCTAGGTTACGTGACCCTGCAAACCTGCTTGTACCTTGCTTATTTTAGTAATTGTACCATTTCTAAAAACTGCATCCAAATGGTATGACTTTCTTGCCTGGGCATTATCAACAGGAACATTGTGACATATTTTTGTGTCCATCATTTAGGTGATATGACTCTCCTCCTCTGCCTGGACACTGCCCACAAAGGACATTATGCCACAGAGCTGGAATTAGCACACAAGCTATGTGTCTACAAAGAGAATATAGAAATATTCCTGTCCCAGCATTTAGGTAATGTGGCTGTTCTGCCTTCTTCATAACAACAGAGGGCATTGTGACATATACCTAGGCATGGCTCACAGGAATGATAATGAGTCTCATATTGGAATAAAGCCAGTAGAGGCTATTTTGACTCTTATAACTAGGTTTATGAAAATGTGAGATGTCATGGATTACCTCCTGGTTCGAAGGTCATAAAAGATTACAATATTGACACTTATTTTACAAAGTCTTCTGGTTATAAAGACAGAGTCAAATCAGGGCTCAGCACAGAGATGAAATTGTGAGTCTTTTATACAAACCCAACTGACAGTCAAGACTGTCATAATATTACATGGATGAAGCCAACTGTCAGACATGAAAAGAGGACATGTATAGTGTTGCAAATTTCATGTGTGAAATTTCTGACAGTGTGACTGTCATATAAATCTTTGTGAAGCACCTTTGTAATTTGACTCTTCAGACTTGTTCCAGTCCATATGTGGGAATGTGATATCTACCTAGATGAACCTTGAGGTGATGTGACACTCCTGCCTGGGCTCTTCTCCCAGTAAGGATTCTGTTGTATTACTGGATCTAACACCCAAGTGATCTTACATTCTTGCCTGCACCATGAGCAAAAAATTGTTGTGACATATTTTTGTGTCCACCTCATAGGAGATATAACTCTCTTCTCTGGAATGGATTCTGTACAAAGGGAGGATAGTGACATAATGTAAGGCCAGGCACAAAGGTGAGGGTATTTTTTCCCATAGCCATGACCAATGGAGGACATTATGACATATCTCTGGGCCTATCACTTAGGATATGCGGCTTTCCTGTTTTTTCCCTGCCAACCTGGAGAGTGACATATTTCTAGGCTAGGAACACAGGTAAGGGTACTCTTGCCAGGGCTATGCTTCATAATGGACATTGTGATAGGTCTCAGGGCCTATCACCTAAGTGAACTGACTCCCTCCTTAAGCCCTACACATATTGTAGGCTTAAGCACAGAACCTGCACCAGGGTGATGTAACTATATTTGCCTGGGTGCTGTTCTAAAAGAGCCTTGTGACATATCTCATGACCCAGCAACCAAGTGATGTGGCTCTTTTGCCTGATTTCTGCCCACATGTTATAATGTGACATATTCCTAGGGAAGCACCTAGCTGATAGGACTCTCCTTGTCTGCCTGAGCAGCTTAGGTCTGCTGAGCCTAGCTTAGTTTATGTGACTCTACTCTTTTTTCTGAATTATGCCCACAAACGAAAATTTTGACCTACTGCACCCAGATGATGTTACTGTTCTGCCAGAGTCCTGTATAAAGAGGGAATTTTTACATACTGGTGGGAGCAGCATCCTGACGATGCTACTGGTTGGCCTGTGCCAGAGCCACAGAGAGTATTCTGACATATCTCCAGCCCATGCTGTAGGTTTTGGCTCTCATCCCTTGGCTAAGTTTTTCACATGTGGAACTGTGTTATATTAATCAGTCCAGCACCCAGTTAATGTGACTCTCCTTCCTAGGTTTTACCGAGTGAGGGCATTGTGACATGTTGCTTGCCACATCACCTAAGCTATTTTATTCTTTGTTCTAAGTTTTTGCTCACAAATGGGATTATGTCATATACCTTGCTTCAGTTCACATGCATGATGGTCAAACTTATATTGAGATTCAGCTAATAGAAGGTATTTTGTCCCTTGTCACTAGGCTAATGGAATAGGTAAAATCCTGGGTTGCATTTTTGTAGAAGGCTCACAGAAATTTACAACGCTAATTCTTATTCTACAAACTGCTTGGGTGGTACAGAGAGTTTCATAACAAGGCCCCACAAAAAATTATAATTGTCATCATCAATGACACACCCAGTTAAGAGTAAAAGTTACAGGAATCCCACATTTACAAAGCTCATTGTTGAAGTACTGAGTTTCACTAGGGAAAACAGAATAAAGATGGAATTTTGACTCTTATATGTGGATCTGGCCACAGGTGTGATAGTGACTGATTTTTGAACATTATCATGTATCCTGAGGTTACAGGCATAGGGTGGCTCACTCCTGTAATCCCAGCACTTTGGGAGGCCAAAGTGGGCAGATCATGAGGTCAAAATAATGAGATGATCCTGGCTAATATGGTGAAAACCTCGCTCTACTAAAAGTACAAAAAGTTAGTCGAGCATGTTGGCAGGCACCTGTAATTCCAGCTACTTGGGAGGCTGAGGCAGGGGAGTCACTTGAACCTGGAAAGTGGAGGTTGTAGTGAGTGGAGATTGTGCCACTGTGCCACTGTTCTCCAGCCTGAGTGACAGAGTGAGACTCCCTCTTAAAAAAAAAAAAAAAAAAAAAAGTCTCACTCTGGAACTCAGCCTAAATGAGAGAAATTGACTATCATATCTCAGTTTAAGGCAATATATAACATTGTGAGTACATATGAGCCTGTGAGTCACAGTGTAGTTTGCAACTCTCATCCATGATGTATAAAGCCCTCAGATGCTGTAGAGGGTTTCATACAATGGCCCAGCATGCATGTGACATTGTGACTCGTATACATACTAAGTTCACAGTTAAAATTGTCAGCCTCTAAAATGAAGAGATTGTGTCATATCACTGGGCCAACTATCAGGGTGTTAAAACTTTTGCTTAAATTGTTACCCATGTGTGCATTTTTACATATTATTGGGTCAGAATTATAAGAATGCGACTCTTCTTCCCGGGTCCTGCCAATGAGGGATATTATAACACATCTCTGAGCCTATTAGCTAGGTGATTTTTCTATTTTGTCTGTGTTTTGCCCCCCCAAGGAACATTGTGACATCTCTGGAAGTAGCATCTAGAAAATGTGACTCTCCTCTCCAGCCAGATCCTGCCAACTAAGGGAATTGTGACATACCACTGAGGGCAAAACCTAGGTAATGCAACACACTTCTTTATTCTGGAGTTGGCCAAAAGAGGGGATTATTTCATATTGCTAAGCCCAACACCTAGGTGATGTGATTCTCCTGTTTTTCTTCAACCTTTTCTACCATAGACGTGGTGCCATATTACTTGAGTCTGTCCCCAGATGATGTTACCCTTCTGACTTGGCCATGCATCCAAAGAAGATTGTAAAGTATCCTAAGCACCGAATCCAGGTGACAAGACTCTCCTGCCTTGTTTCTGCCCTCAGGTGAAATTGAGTAGGCTAGAGCACTGTCACCCTTAGTGGTTAGCTCATGCGGTCTTCAGAGGTATTTCAAAATCATAGTTTGTTGGGGCTCAAAAATGGGCTGGTGCAAATGAGAAGGTGCTGTTGAAATAATTGGAGTCAGGAAGGGAATGAGATGTGCTTGGAAAAGTGCACATGCTGCTTAGGTGCAACAGAACTGTCTGGCCAGTTCTCTGGTTTGGGCCTTCTGCCATGGAATTAACAGTCATTACCTTTATACTGCATTTGTTCGGTATGAAGACTCTGATGTTGAACACAGTATGAGAACTTGTTAAAGACTTTCCACATTTTTAACAATTGTAAATCTACTCTCTAGTATGAATTCTCTTTTCTCTAATGAGGTGTGAGAAAAACTCAATGCTGTGCCACATTTTTCACATTTGTAGGGTTTTTCTCCAGTGTGAATTATCTAATGATTAGTAATGTCTGAGAAGCACTTAAAGGTTTTGCCACATTCTCCACATTCAGAAGGTCTCTTTTCCATATTAATTCTCTTGTGGTTAATAAGGGTGAAGAAGCAGGTAAAGGCAGTTCCACATTCTTCACAGATGTATGGTTATGTTCTTCACAGATGTACACTTGTGTTTACTAAGGGCTGAGAACCACATAAAAGCTTTTATTATATTCAATACATTTGTAAGGTTTCTCTCCACTATGAATTATCATGTTTAGTAAGGTCTGAGAAGCAACTATAGTCTTCATCACATTCTTCACGTTTGTAGAGTTTCTCCCCGGTGTGAATTATCTTATATTTAGCAAGTTCTGAGAACAACCTATAGGCTACATTCCTCACATTTGCAAGATTTCCCTCCAGTATAATTTCTCTTTTGATTAGTAAGGTCAGAGAAGCACTTAAAGGCTTTGCCACATTCTTCGCATATGTAGGGTTTGTCTCCAGTATGATTTCTCTTTGTTTAATAAAGGTTGAGGAGCAGGTAAATGTTTTGCCACATTCATTGCATTTGTTAGATATCCCAGCATGAGCTCTCTTATATTCAGTAACATTTGAGATATTTTCAGGCTTTGCCACATTGTTGATGTCTGTAGCATCTCTCTGCAGTATGAATTCACTTCTGTATAGTAATATCTGAGAACAACCTACAGTCTTTGCCACATTCTTCACATTTGTAGCATTTCTCTATGCTGAAAATTTTCTTATGTTCAGTAAAGACTGAGCACAACTCAAAAGCTTTGCCACATTTATTTCATTGACAGGTTTTGCTATGGGTAGTTGACAAACATTGATGAAGGCCATTATAACTGCTCTTCTGCCCCTTGCAATTATCCACACTTTGGTAGTCTTTTTTTTTTTAATGTAAACTATTAAGGTCACAGCTTCTATATTTTCTCAGATTCACTTTTTGAAATGAATCTTATATGTCATGCTCCAGCAATATCTCTGCAGGAAAACGAAAAGAGTCAGCTGAAAAAAAAAAAAAAAGAACATAACTCTCCCATCATGAGACACAGATTAATACATTTTACAAATGTATAATTATACAAAACACGTTAACTAGGTGACACTAAAACACCACAGGTTCTAATTCCTTTATAGACATATAAACTTAACAGAAATATACTGACCAAAATGTCATTGTGAAAAGTCTAAGAACCAGTTAAACCTTTGCTATTCTTCATCCTATTATGAGTATAAATATAAACTCCTAACTTCTGCCTTACCCATCCAAAAATAAGTAAAATTGTGGCATCTTTGTCAATGCTCCTGGCTCTTTGTGACCTTACTAAAGACTAATTTCTATATTTCATGACAGTATTGAAAAGAAAGGTGGTGCTCTTTGATACTTTTGGACAGCTAAAACCAAATGTAAATGACTGTCACAAGAGAAGGAAGATGTCACTATCATTGATAGACAATGGAAATAACATCTGACTACAAGACCTTAATAAGAAATATGAAGAATGGCCAGGAGCAGTGGTTCATGCCTGTAATCCCAGCACTTTGGGAGACTGAGGTGAGAGAATCACATGAGGTCAGAAATTCAAAATCAGCCAGGTCAACATGGTGAAACTGGTCTCTAACAAAAATACAAAAATTGGCCAGGTGTGGTGGCAGTCTGCCTGTAATCCCAGCTATTTAGCAGGCTGAGGAAG
The DNA here is from genome assembly GCF_000001405.40 of Homo sapiens. Taxonomy (NCBI): domain Eukaryota; kingdom Metazoa; phylum Chordata; class Mammalia; order Primates; family Hominidae; genus Homo; species Homo sapiens. The sequence goes on from NC_000024.10 coordinate 8,070,807, forward strand.
AAGAATTGCTTGAAGCTGGAAAGTGGAGTTTGCAGTAAGCCAGGATTGCACCATAGCACTCTAGGCTGGGCAACAAGAGTGAAAAAGCAACTCAAAACTAAATAAATAAATACATACATACATACATACCTACCTACATACATAAAAATAAGAAAAAAATGAGGAAAATTTTTTAACTAAAAAACACACAGGCCCAGGGGAACAGGCTTGAGAGACTCCAAGAATCTCTAGGATAAAACTTGGTAGCTTATTTTTCAAGACAAAAGACACTTAATAAAGATTTGACATGTGGCTTTTTATTATATAAATTGCAACCTAAGATTACAACATATAACAGGCCGGGTGCGGTGGCTCATGCCTGTAATGCCAGCACTTTGGGAGGCTGAGATGGGAGGATCACGAGATCAGGAGATCGAGACCATCCTGGCTAACACAGGGAAACCCCATCTCTACTAAAAAATACAAAAAAAAAAAAAATTAGCCGGCATAGTGGTGGGTGCCTGTGCTCCCAGATACTCAGGAGGCTGAGGCAGGAGAATGGCGTGAATCCAGGAGGTGGGGCTTGCAGTGAGCCGAGATCACACCACTGCACTCCAGCCCGGGCGACAGAGCAAGACTCTATCTTAAAAAAAAAAAAAAAAAAAAAAAAAAAAAAAAAAATTACAGAATATACTGAACATCAGGGTAATGTGACTCAAGCAAAAATAAAAATAAATATTCAAGAATCAATTATTCAAAATTAAGATGGGAAAATTACTTGAGACAATCAGATTTAAATTATAGATCTATGTTTTAAAAGAAAAAAATAAATTATCCTAAACAATCAAAATTACCATCTCAATGATACTCAGAGAGTAAAATGGAAATAAACAAAACAAAATAAAAGAACAAAAATATTTCAGGCAAAAAGAGAAGAGATTGACATAGTTAAAACACATTTTAAAAAAAGTCTAAGCAAAACACTGTATCCAGCTATTGTATCCTTCAAAATAATAATAAAAAAATCTAACTACATCATGATCTATATCAAGATTTAATCACATCATGGCTTCAAGAGACTCACTTCAGAGCTAATAAAAAAAAAAGAAACTGAAAATGCCAGGATGAAAAATAAATTCCATGCAAGCATTAACAAAATGAAATGAGAAAAGGCTACAATTTATTAAGTTGACAACTGTCATATTTAATAAAATTTACTTTTAGCCAAATTTTACAAGAGACACAGTAGGACATTCAATTATAATAAAAAGGTTCATTCACTGAGAGCCTATACATATATTACTGTTTTCCCAAACACATGAAGGAAACATTGACAGAATTGATGCCAAAATAGTAATATAATAATGGATGCATACATCAATATCTCACTTTCAGTAAAAAATAAACAAGGCAGAATATTAATAAGGAAACAATAATTGAAGGCACTATAAAATAACTGCACTTAATAAATGTATACAGACAACAGAATACACATCCTTTTCAATAGCTCATAAAACATTTTCCTACACAGACCATCTGTGACACCACAAAAGAAGTCTTAACAATTTTTTAATTGAAATTTTACAGTTATTTACAGACCAAATGGAATGAAACTAGAAATCAGTAAAAGAAGAAAAGCTGAACAATTTAAAGAATAAAATATTAAAATACAGTTTTTTTTCTTTTTTTAATTTCTTTTCTGATGGAGTATCACTCTGTTACTAGGTTGGAGTGCAGTGGCACAATCTCAGTTCACTGCAACTTCCAGTTTCCGGGGACAAAGGATTCTTCTTCTTCAGTGTCCCAAGTTACTGGAACTACAGGCATGTACCACCACACCCAGCTAATTTTCTGTATTTTAGTAGAGATGCGGTTTTATCATTTTGCCCAGAATTTTCTCTATCTCCTGATTTCTCCTTGCATCATCCTTGGACTCTCAAAGTGCTGGGATTACAGTCATGAGCCACCATGCTCTGCCAACAACACACTTTTGAGTAGGCTTTTTTTCAATGGTTGGAAGAAATAATATTGTGAAGATGTCCATATGCTTAAAGTGACCCAATGCTCAACATATCCCTTTTTAATTTTAATTATATTTTTCAATAATGGAAAAAATAAAAGGATCTCAAGGGACTATGAAAAGCCTGACAATCTTGAAAAATAAGAAAAATATTGGAAGCCTTACACTTAACAATTTTCACACACACGCAAAATCCTACAATAACCAAAGCACTTTGGTAGGGCTGTAAAGGTAGAACACCAAAGTAATGAAACAGAATGCAGCACAGAAATAAACCCTTGAGTGCAGAAGGGAGATATACCATCTAGGTTTTGCAATCAATCGTATATCACAATTCCTTTGGTGAACAGTACCAGGCAGGGGAGGAGAATAACATTACCTAGATGCTAGTTTCAGCGATATTTTAAAATGTCCTTGGGGGCAGGACACAGGCTGCAGAGACATATCACCTAGCTGATAGGCCCAGATATATGTGATAATATCCCCTGTTGATATGGCCCAGGCAGCAGAGTCACATTATTATTATTCTGACCCAGAGATATGTAATAATGCAGCCATGGGAAAAAAATAGAGCCAAAATCTCACAACACCTGGATACTAGGCCCATTGACATGACACAATCTCAACATTTTTGAGGCTGACACCTTTAACTTTTAGCAGACAGTGTATATTAGAGTCACAATCTCACATGTGAGCTGGGTCAGTGTATGACACTCCCTACAACAACCAAGAGCTTTATAAAACCTGCATGAATGGGCAGGACATGGGGGCTCACACCTGCAATCCCAGGAATTTAGGAGGCTGAGGCAGATAGATTATAAGGTTAAGAGTTCAAGACCCACCTGGCCAAAACAGTGAAACCCCGTCTCTACTAAAAATACAAAAAAAAATTAGCCGAGTGCGGTGGCAGGCTCCTGTAATCCCAGCTAATTGGGAGGTTTAGGCAGGAGAATCTCTTGAACTCATAAGGCAGAGGTTGCAGTGAGCTGAGACTGTGCCACTGCACTCCAGCCTGGGTGACAGAGTGAGACTCTTTGAGGCCTACGTGCTCATATGGACACACAATCTTACATATTGTCCTAAACCCTGGTTAGTCAACATCTCTCCTATAGGCAGGGTTAAGGGGGAAGACCCATTATTATGTCTGGGCCCAGAAATGAGTTGTCATTCCACATGTGGCCAGATGAACACATAAAAGTCACAATTCTGACTCTGCTATATTTCCTTGTTACACTCAGGACCTCAAAAGTGGGCACTGTAAATGTGGGATGGTGAAAACTTTTAATTTCACCTGGGTTCATAACTGACAGTCCCAATCTAAACTTTTTGCAGGGTCCTATTATGAAACTCTATCAACAAAGAGTTTATACAATATCAGTTACTGTTGCAAGCTTCTGTCAGCTTGGAACAAATAGGCAACCCAAGAGTTTACCAATAGGTACACTCAGCTTAGCAATGAGAGGTGAAATATCTCCTATTGGCTGAATCCAAATATAAGTTTGATCATCATGCCTGAGAAATGAAGCAAGGTGTATGTCATAATCCCATTTATAGGCATAAAACTAGGCAGGAGAGTAACATCACACAGATGCTCTGTCACATGTGTCACATGTGATGCTGTGTCACAATGCCTTCTCTAGGCAGGGTATAGGAAGTTGGGCCCATTAACTGGGTGCTGGACCCAGCGATATGACACCATCCCACATGCAGAAAAAAATCCAGCCAAGTTATGAGAGCCAAAACATGTATATAATGGGCCCAAGATATGTCAAAAAACCTTCAGTGGCTCCAGTACAGGCAGGAGAGACACATCATAAGGGTGCTGAGCCCAGCAATATGCAATATGCCATAAATTTCTCTTTATGCAGAACCCAGGCAGAAGAGTAACATCATCTGAGTGCTGGGCCATGCAATAAGACAAAATACTTATTTTGTGGGCATGGATCAAAAAAAAAGAGGTGAGTCACATATCCTGAATCCTGGGCTCAGCAATGTGTAAAAATCCTCCTGCTGTGAAGGCCCAAGCAGACAAAGAGCATCACATCACTTAGGTCATGGGCTCAGAGATATGTCCCAATGTCTCCAGTAGGCAAGGTTCAGGCAGATGAGGAGAGTCATATCACCTAGGTGCTTTCCTAGAAATATGTCACAATGTAACACATGGGCAGAAACCAGGTAGAGGAACCATATCACTTGAGTGATGGGTCCTGGGATATGTCACAAGACTCTCTTGGGACAACACTGAGCAAAGAAATTTACATCATCTAGGTATAGGCTTTCTGCTTACTCCACAGTGCTTTATTTGGGTAGGGACCAAGGAGGCAGTCACTTCACCTAGAAGATAGGCCCCAATATATGTCACAATGTCCTCTATGAAGCATAGCCCTGGCAAAAGAGTACCATCAACTGTGTGCCTGGCCTAGAAATATGTTACTCCAGGTTGGAAAGGCCCAAGCAGGAGAGCCATACAACCCAGGTGACAGGGCCAGATATAAGTCACAATGACCTCCTTTGAACAGGACTCTGGCAAAATAATACATTCAATGGTGTACCTGGCCTTGAAATATGTCACTATCCTTCTTTTGTGCATGGCCCACCCCAGAAAGCAGAGTTACATCACCTATGAAGGGGACACAGAAATATGACACAATAATTTTGGTGGGCATGGTCCAGGCAAGAATATAACATTGCCTGGGTGCTAGATAAAGTTGTATGTCACAATCCTTACTTAGAGAATGGCCCAGGCAGGAGAGTCACATTACCTTGAGGTTGGCCTAGCTAGATATCACAATCCCATATTTGGGCTGGAATAAGTATGGAAAGTCAAATTATACAGGTTCTTGGCAAGTATTTATACCACAATCACAGTGTTAGATAATTGCAAAGGTAAAATTTACAATACCACACATATCCTGTTTTCATGTGTGATATTTTGCTTTATCCATGTGAGGTGTTGACAGTCTTTACTGTCAGCTGGGCATGCATACAAGACTCACAATTTCACCTGTGTTCTGAGCCCTGCTTTGACTCTGTCTGTATAACCCAAAGACTATAAAATATGAGTGAATGTTGTAATCTTTTGTGACTTTTGTATAAGAACATTATTCAGGACATCATGCATGTACCTAAACTTGGCTATAAGAATCAAAATAAGCTCTATTAGCTGAATCCCCATATGACAGTCATTATCATTCCTTTGAACCTTGCCTTGGTGTTTTGTCAGAAATGTCACAAAACTTGTGTGCTAGGTCCAGTTCTGTGGCACAGTGTTCACCTAAATGGTGGGCCCCAAAATATGCTAGAATGCCTCCTGTTAACAGGGCCCAGCCAGGAGTCATGTCATTTGGATGCAGTGTTTAGAAATGCTACAATTACCAAAGGAAGCAGATTACAGGCAGTTGAGGAGAGTCACGTAACCTACATGGCTGGTCCAGAATTATATTACAATCCCCCCTGAGGACCTTGTTAAAATAACACAGTCAAATCACCAAGGTTCTTGGCCCACGTATTTGTCAAAATCTCATTTTTGGCCATACCTGGCAAAATTATCAAATAATTCTGGAGCTGGTCAAAGGTATGTGTACACAATTATAATTGTGGAGAGGTTTAAAAATAAAAGTCATCATCTTGCACATGTTCTGACTACAAGTATATACATTGTTATAAGGCTTTTGTTATGGTTTCAGATATATGGCGCAATATCACCTGTGGACACACAGAAGGCAAGAAAGTCACATCACCTACATGGGTGTGGGTCCTGTGAGATGTCACAATCCCCCTTGTGGGAAGCCCCTTATAGAAAATTCACATCACCTGGATGCTGGTTTCAATGACATATCAAAAACCCCTCAGTAGGCAGGCTTTTGGAAAAGGAGGAGACTCACTTCACATAGGCAACTGACCTAGACATATGTCACAGTGTCTGTTCTGTGCAGTATCAAAACTGGAGAAGGACCGCACATTGGTGCTGGTCCCAACAATATGTCACAATGTCCCTGTAATCAAGGCACAGGCTGAAGCAGAAAAACATAACCTACGTGTTGAGCCAAGTGATGCGTTACAATGCTTTCTGCTGGCAGAACCCAAGAAGTAGAATCACGTCACCCAGGTGCAGGGCCCAGTTATGAGTCACAATGCACTGAGAGTTCTTGGCCAAGGCAGTATAAGATTGTCACATCACTTACATGATGGATCTAGATATAAGACCCAATTCTCTTTGTAGGCAGGTTTCAGGGGGATAATTCACCTCATCGGGATGATGGTCCCAGGGATATATAAAAGTGCCATTTTGTAGGCATAGCCAAGGAAGGTGTTATACTTGGTTTAGTGCTTGTTCCAGGTATGGCACAATTTCATCTGTGGCCTGGACCTAGAAGAGATAGTCAAATTATTCATATGCTAGGCAAATTTACTTGTGCCAATCACACTCCCAGAAACATTCAGAAATGTTTTTTATCCCACACGAATCCTGGTTTTGTGTATTTAAGTTAACTCTTTCTATGGGTTGGGTCGAAGTAGGGAAGACACAATCCCAACCATGGGCGAGATCATGTATAAGAACCTCAATCCTACTTGAATATTGTGATCCAGTAGGAGAGTCACAGCATCGCAAGTGTGTGAATCATGTTTCAAATGTTACCAAACCACCTGCGAATCAGACCCATGTATTATAGTAATTATGTCAACCTTTGACTGCTTTTTATGTGTGAGATTTAGTACCACATTCCTAGGCCCTGTTTATGTGTGAGAATGAGAATCGCATCAGCTAGGTGTGCATAAAAGGGTCACATTCTCATCTGCTTGCTGTTCTCTAGTATGACACTCTGTACCAATAAAGCTTTATATGACATACCAGAGCATTATAATCCTTTGTGAACTTTACTGAAGTGAAAAACCCAGGACTTTACCCATGGCAGTGAGACTGTCTATGAGAGTCACAATATCTCTACTGGCTGGGTCCAGAAAAGAGAGTTATTATTGAGCATGTGTGCTTAACCCAGGTGTATGTAACAGTTTCACCTGTGAGCTGAGATAAGGTAAGAGAACCATATAACCTGGGTGCTGAGCCAGTGACACAATAAAATCTCATTTGTAGGCTGGGCCTAGTCAGAAGAGCCTAATCATCTAGATGTTGAGCTCTGCAATATGCAATAATTCCATCTCTTGGCACAGTCTAGGATATGAAGGAGAGTCACATAAGCTAGGTTTTACAATCAGTGCTATGTCACCACATCTGTGGTGAGCAGCACCCAGGAAGGAGAGGAGAGTCACATGACCAAGATGTTTGGACAAACAATATTTCACTATGTTCTCTGGGGGCAGGTACAGGCAGGAGAGATAAATCACCTATCTCATACACTCAGAGATAAGTGATAATATCCCCTGTTTGCAGGGTCCAGGCAAAAGTAACATGATTATGATTCTAACCCTGCAATATGTCAAAATGCACCCATGGGAAAAAAAAATTAACCAAAAACTCTCAACACCTGGGTACTAGGCCTAGTAATAGGCCAAATATTTTTCTCTTTGTGGGTGACACCATTAAATTGAGCTACATGTATATATAAGAGTCACAGTCTCATGTGTTTTGGGGGCTATTGTATGACACTCTAAAACACCTGAAGGCTTTATACAGCACGCATCAGGGTTGGACACCACTCTGAAGCCTACATGCTCATAGAGATTCATGATCTTATGTATTTCCCTAAACCCCGGTATAATAGTACACATCTTTTATGTAGGCTGGTTTTAGGTATGGGACCCATTATCATGCCTATGAGCTGGACACATAAATGAGTCATCATCCCACTTGTGGCCAGATCCACATATGAAGGTCAAAATGCTAACTTTGTACTGTATTCACTTGTTAGATTCAGGATGTTAAAAGTGGGCTTTGGACATGTGGGATGGACATGTCCAAAGCTTTGGACAACATTTGCTTTTACCTGGGAATGTAATTGAAAGTCCCAATCTGAACTTTTTGCTGGTCCCTGTCATGAAACTCTCTGTACCAATCAAGGAACTCATACATTATGAGTTAGTGTTGTAAAGTTCTGTGAGCTTTCTACAAATATGTAACCAAGGACCTTACCTATTGCCCTATGCCTAGTGATGAAAGCCAAATATCTCCTATTGGCTGAATCCAAGTGTAAGTTTAGGACAATATGTAAGATTGTGAGTCCATATGATCACGTAGGCCACAAAGAGTCTCACTCTGTCACCCAGGCTGGAGTGCTGTGGCACGATCTCAGCTCACTGCAGCCTCTGCCCTATGAATTCAAGGGATTCTCCTGCCCAAGCCTCCCAATTAGCTGGGATTACAGGAGCCTGCCACCACACTTGGCTAATTTTTTGTGATTTTAGTAGAGATGGGGTTTCACCATCTTGGCCATATGGTTCTTGAACTCTAGACCTTATGATCTACCTGCCTCAGCCTCCCAAATGCTGGGATTACAGGTGTGAGGACATTTTGAGATATCACTGAAACTAGCATCTAGGTAATGGAATTCACCTCCCCTGCCTGGGAACTGTTCACCAAAGGAATTGTGACATATGATTGAATGAAAACTTAGATGGTATGTCTCCCTTCCGCACTCAAGGGTTTATTTCTGTGCTGCATTCTGTTTCATTACTTTGGTGTTCTACCTTTACAGCCCTACCAAAGTGCTTTGGTTACTGTAGGATTTTGTGTGTGTGTGAAAATTGTTAAGTGTAGGGCTTCCAATATTTTTCTTATTTTTCAAGATTGTCACACTTTTCATAGTACCTTGAGATCCTTTTATTTTTTTCTATTTTTGAAAAATATAATTAAAATTAAAAAGGGATATGTTGAGCATTGAGTCACTTTAAGTACATGGACATCTTCACAATATTATTTCTTCCAACCCTTGAAAAAAAGCCTACTCAAAAGTGTGTTGTTGGCAGAGCATGGTGGCTCATGACTGTAATCCCAGCACTTTGAGAGTCTGAGGATGATGCATGGAGAAATCAGGAGATTAAGACAATTCTGGGCAAAATGGTAAAACCACATCTCTACTAAAATACAGAAAATTCACTGGGTGTGGTTTTTCCTGCCTGTAGTTCCAACTACTTGGGAGACTGAAGCAGAAGAATGCTTTGTCCCCAGAAACTGGAGGCTGCAGTGAACTGAGATTGTGCCACTGCACTCCAACCTAGTGACAGAGTGATACTCCATCAATAAAGAAATTTTAAAAAAGAAAGAAAAACTGTGTATTTTAATATTTTATTTTTTAAATTGTTCAGCTTTTCTTCTTTTACTGATTTCTAGCTTCATTCCATTTGGGCTGTAAATAATTGTAAAATTTCAATTAAAAAATTGTTAAGGCTTCTTTTGTGGTGTCACAGGTGGTCCGTGTAGGAAAATGTTTTATAAGCTATTGAAAAGGATGTGTATTCTGTTGTCTGTATACATTTATTAAGTGCAGTTATTGTATAGTGCCTTCAATTATTGTTTCCTTATTAATATTCTGCCTTGTTTATTTTTTACTGAAAGTGAGATATTGATGTATGCATCCATTATTATATTACTGTCTATTTTGGCATCAATTCTGTCAATGTTTCCTTCATGTGTTTGGGAAAACAGTAATATATTTATAGGTTCTCAGTGAATGAACCTTTTTATTATAATTGAATGTCCTACTGTGTCTCTTGTAAAATTTGACTAAAAGTAAATTTTATTAAATATGACAGTTGTCAACTTAATATTGTAACCTTTTCTCATTTCATTTTGTTAATGCTTGCATGGAATTTATTTTTCATCCTGGCATTTTCAGTTTATTTTTTTTAATTAGCTCTGAAGTGAGTCTCTTGAAGCCATAGTTAGATCGTGATATATATCATGATGTAGTTAGTTTTTTTATTATTATTTTGAAGGATACTATTGCTGGATATAGTATTCTTGCTTAGAATTTTTTCATGTGTTTTAAGGTTTTACATGATATACCTGAGTCTTATAATTCTTCATGAACTTTATACTAGTAAAAATTCCACGGCTTTACCCAAGGACCTGAGACTGGCTATGAGAGTCAAAATATCGCTACTGGCTGGGTCCAGGTATGAAAGTTGTTGTGCATGTGTGCTTAACCCAGAGTGTTAAAATATTTCTACTGGGTTGGTCCAGTTATGAGAGTTATTATTGTGTATGTGTGCTTAACCTTGTATATGTCACAATTTCACCTGTGAGCAGGGACAAGGCAGGGGAGTCATATTATCTAGGTGCTGAGCCAGTAATACAGTATAATCTCATTTGTAGGATAGGCCTAGTCAGAAAAATCACACAACCTGGGTACAGCCTCAAATAATATGTCACCAAGTCTGCTATAGACAGGGAATAAGTATAAAATGAGAGTTACTCCACCTAGGTTCTGGGCTCTGTAGTATGTAATAATGTATCTTTTGGCTGAGTCTGGAATATGAAGGAGAGCCATATCACCTAGGTTTTGCAATAAGCAGCATGTCACATGTTTTTTAGTGAGCAGGACCCTGGCCAGGAGGAGAGTCACATGACATAAAGGTTTGGCCAAACAATATTTCACAATATCCTGCAGGGCAGGGCACAGGCAGGAGAGACAAGTAATCCAGCTTATGTGCCCAGAGATATGTGATAATATCCCAGGTTGGCAGGGTACAGGCAGGAGAGTCATATAATTATTCTAACTCAGCAATATGTCACAATGTACCCATGGGAAGGTATTTAAGCAAAAAGTCTCAACATCTCATACTAGGCCTAAAAATATGCCAAATCTTTTGGTCTTTGAGGGTGACACCTTTAACAGGAACCGAAGTGTGTATATGACAGTCACAATCTCACATGTTTCCTGGGCTGTTGCATGACGCTCTACAACATTTGAAGGCTTTATATAGCATGCGTGAGAGTTGCAAACCACTCTGAGGCCTATATGTTCATATAGATTCACAGTCACACAAACTAACGTAACCCAGGTATAATGGTCTCTTCTGTAGGCTAGGATCAGGAATGAGACACATTATGATGTCTGTGAGCTGAATCCAGAAATGAGTCACCATCCCGCCTGTGGCCAGATCCACATATGAAATTCACAATTCCAACTTTGTACTTTATTCTCCTGTTAGACTTAGGACCCTAACAGTGGGATTTGCATATGTGGTATGATAACAACATTCACTTTTACCTGGGTGTGGAATCGAGAGAATCCCAATCTGAACTTTTTGATGGGTCCTGGCTTAAAACTCTCTGTGCCATACTAGGAGATAATATATTATGAGTTAGTGTTGTAAGGCGCTGTGTGTTTGGTACAAATAGCAATTCAGGACCTTAACTATTGCCCTAAGCCTAGCGATGAAAGGAAAAATAAATGATATTGGCTGAAACCCAACATAAGTTTTACTATCATGCCTGTAAACTGAAGTAAAGTATATATCATAGTCCCTTTTGTGGGCAAAAACTAGGTTGGCAGGTAAGATTGTTTAGCTGCTGTGCTAAGTAGCATATCACTAATTCCTAGGCACGGTATAAGAATTAGAGTCACATTAACTGGGTGCTGGACTCAGCAATATGAAACCATCCCAGCCAAGGGATGAGAGTCAAAACACACACAATAAGCCCAGAATATGTTTAAAAAAGTTCTATGACTATGGGGCAGGCATGATAGATGAAATAATGTGCTGCTCTGAAATGACATTGTCAGGGTGCTGGTCTCAGCAATATGCCATAATTTTCTCTATATGCTGTACCCAGACAAAGGAGTAACATTGTCTCGAGGCTGGGCCATGCAATATGTCAAAAAGTCTGTTTGTGGGCATGGCTCTAGAAAAAAAAGTAGAGACAAATAAACTGAGTGATGAACTCAGCAATATTCCACAATAGCCCGATTATAAATACCAGGCGAAAAATAGCGTCATTTCACTTAGGTCATGGGCACAGAGATATATCCCACTGTTCCCAGGAGGCAAAGCCCAGACAGAAAAGGTGAATCATATCATGTAGGGACTTTCTTGGTTATATATCACATTCTAACGTGTGGGCAGACACCAAGCAGAAGAACCACATCACCTGGGTACAGCATCAAGCAATATGTCACCATCCCCTGTAAGGACAGGTTTGAAGGAAAAAAAAGAGAATCACAACTCCTGGGTGCTGGGCTCAGCAATATATAATAATTTCCACTCTTAGCAGAATCCAGGACAAAGAGGAGATTCATGTCACCTAGGTTTTGGATTTGGTGGTATGTCACACTTTCTTCAATGGGCAGGATCCAATTAGCAGAGGAGAGTCATATTTCCTAGATGCTATATCTAGCCATATGTCAGAATGTCCCCTGTGGGCAGGGCACTGGCAGGAGAGCCATATCAGCTAGCCAAAAGGACCAGAGATATATGAAAATATATGTTGTTTGCAGGGCCCATGCAGAAGTCACATTATCATGATTCTGACCCAGTGATATGTAACAATGTCCTTAAGAAAAAGAATTTAAACCTAACATCATAATACCAGGGTATTAGGCCAAGGGATATGACTCAATCTCCTCATCTTTAAGGGTGACACTACTAATTGTTGGCTACTTGTGTGTAGGAGAATCACAGTCTCATGTGCGTGCTGGCCATTGTATGACACTCCCTACAACATCTGAGTACTGTATACAACATGCATGAGAGTTGCAAGCCTCTCTGATGCCTACATGCTTATATGGATTTGCAAACTTAGATTCCCCTAAACCCACATATGACAGTCAACATCTCTCCTAAAGACTGGCTTAAAGAATTAGGCCACTATTATTTCTGTGAGCTGAGTCCAGAAATGAGTCATGATTCCACCTGTTGCCAGATTGACTTATGAAAATCACAATTCTGACATTGTGCTTTATTCACTCATTAGAATCAGGACATCAACAATGGGCTTTGTAAATGTAAGACAGTAACAATTTTTACTTTCACTTGTGTAGTCAGGAGTCACAATCCTGACTTTTTGCTGGGCCCTGTTATAAAAGTCTCTGTACCACCCAAGAAGTTTGTATGATATGAGTTAGTGTTGTAAACTTCTGTGAGATTTGTAGAAATATGAATAAAGGACCTTATTGACCAAAACATAGTGGTTAGTGGCAAAATATTTCCTATTGGAAGAATCTCAGTATAAGTTTGATCATCATGCCTTTCAACTGGAGGACGGTATATGTCATAATCTTATTTGTGGGCTAATAACTAGGCTGAAGGTTAACATCACTTAGGTACTGGGGCAAGTAATATGTCACAGTGCCCTCTCTAGGCAGGGCCTAGGGAATAAGGTCACATTAACTGGGGGCTGAAGCCAGCATTATAATACAACCACAGGTGGAAGAAACCCAGCAAAGTTATGAGAGCCAAAGCACTTAAAAAATTGGCCAAAGATATCCCAAAATACTTCCTGTGGCTCAGGCACAAGCAGGAGAGTAATGTCATTAGTGTACTGGACCAAGCAATATGCCACAATTCCCTGTTTATGCATGACTTATGCAGAAAAGTAGCATCACCCATGTGTAGGACCCTGAAATATTGCAAAAGCCCTATTCATGAGCATTGTTCGGCAAGAAGACGAGAGTCATATTACCTAAGTGCTGAGCTCATCAATATGTCAAAATGTTTCTGTTGTTAAGACCCAGACAGAAGAGAGTCACATTACTTATGTCATGGGCTAAGAGGTGTGACCAAATGTCACCAGTACACAGGGCTCAGGCAGAAAGAGTCAGATTACCTAAGTGTCTCTTTAAGTATATGTCACAATTTAATATGTGGGCAGAAACCAGGGTGAAGAGCCACATCTTCTCTTCCTGTATCCTGAGATACTCACAAGTCAGTCCCCCTTAGAAAAGAACATAGGCAAGTCAGTTACATCACCTAGGTCCCTGTTCCACTGTTATTTCACAATGCTCCATGTGGTCAGGGACAAGCAGGACCAAGGACCAAGGCCAAGCACATCACCTAAGTGATAAGCTGAGAGATATGTCACAAAGCCTTTCTGAAAGCATGGCCCTGACAAAACAGCACCATTACCTTTGTGGCTGACCTAGCAATATGTCACTATTCAAGTAGGCAGTTCCCAAGCAGAAGAGCCATATCACCTCCATGATAGGAATTGTGATATGTCAACATGCCCTCTTTTGGGTATGGCCCTGGCAAAAGAGTATCATCACATGTGTGTCTGTCCTAGGAATATGTTATTTTGCCCTGTGTGCAGGATTCATTCCAGACAGGAGAGTTACATCTTCTAACTGATGTACAAAGTGATATGCCACGATGATATTTTCAGGCATGATGCGGCAAAATGTAACGACACCTTGATGCTGGATCCAGTGATGTCATAGTTCTTACTGAGAGGAGGGGCCAGGCAGAGAAGTCTCATCACTTCAAGTTTGGCCCAGGTAGATATACAAATCTCATATGTAGACTGGAATCAGTCTGAAGAGTGAAATCACACAGGTGCTTGCAAAGACTTACATCACAGTCACAATGAAATAAAATTCTAGGGATTAGATTTACAGTATCACACATGTCCTGTTTTCATGTAGGAGAGTTGCTTTCATCCATCTGTGATGGTGAAAGTCTTTACTGTCAGTTAGATGTGCATATGAGACTCAGAATTTCCTCTCTGTGCTAGTCCCTTTTATGACACTCTCTATACAACCCAAGGGTCCTATAAAATATGTGTGAGTGTTGTAATCTTCTGTGACATTTTTACCAGAATTAGACCCTGGACATCACTGATGTACCTCAACCTAGTTATATGGGTCAAAATTTCTCCTACTGGCTGCGTATATAAGAGTCAGTATCATATAAGAGTCAGTATCATGCCTGTTAGCTGTGTCTAGGTATATGGCACCAACCCCTCTGTGGTTATTAGACACAGAGGACAACAACATCACCTAAATCTTCAGCCACAAATAATCCAATATTCTCTTTGTAGGCAGGGATATAAAAGAAATGTCACAAAACTTGGGTGCTGGTCTCATTGATTTGTAAATTTTCCTATATCACATTGCCAAACAAGGTGTTATGCATTGCTCAGGTACTTGCTGCATGTATGTCACAGTTTCCACTGTGCTCTGAACCTAGAAAGGAGAGTCAAACACTCAGATGTTAGGCAAAGTAACATTTTCAATCACACACTTGAAAATGTTCAGAAATATGTTTCACAGTCCCACACAAGTTCTGTCTTTGAATATAAGAGTGAACATCTCCCATGAGTTGGGTCAAAGTACAGGAGTCACTGTCTCATCAATGGGCAAGCTCCATGTACACAAGCCCCATTCCCACTTGAAGATTGTATTCCAGAGAGTCAAAGCACCACATGTCTGCTGACTCATTGTTCAAACATCAAAAAACCACCTGTGGGCCAGTTTTATGTATGAGAGTAAAAATTTCAAGCTTCAACTGCCTATCTGTGTGAGATTTAGTACCTCATTCATAGACTGTTCATGTGAGAGAATGACAATTGTGTCAGCTGGATGTGCATCCAAGAGTCACAACAGAACCTGGTTGCTGGTGCCTGTTAGGACACTCTATGTACTACTCAGGCTTTACGTGATATATCTGAGTAACATATTTTTCTGTGAATTCTTACAGGTAGGAGATCTAGGATTTTATCCATGTTCTTAAGTCTGGCTATGAGAGTCAAAATATCTTCCCTGGCTGGGTCTAGGTAGCAGAGTTATTATTTTGCATATGAGCTTAATCAAGGTATAAGTGACAATTTCACCTTTGGACAGAGACAATCAGAAAAGTCATATCTTCTAGGCCCTGAGACAAGGATACACTATAACTTCCTCTGTAAGCAGGACCCAGTCAAAATAGTCATAAAAAATGGCTCAGTCTTAAATAATATGTCATAATGCCCACTGTATACAAGGTGGAAAAATAGTGGTACCCCTAGGTACCACACTCAGCAATAGGTTATAATCTTTTCTCCTGGCAGTGTCCTGGACAAAGTAGAGAGTCACATCACCTAGTTTTGCACTCAATGGTATGTCATTATTTCCTTAGTGGGCAGGATCCAGACAGGAGAGGAGAGTCATATTACCTAGATGCTATATCTAGTGATATGTCACAGTGTCCTCTGTGGGCAGGGCACTGGCAGGAGAGATATATCACCTAGCTGATAGTCCCAGAGATATGTGATAATATCCCCTGTTGTCTGGGTCCAAGCAGAGGAGTCATATTGTTATAATTCTGACACAGCGATTTGTAACAATGCACCAAGAGAAAGAATTTGAGCCAAAAACTCTGAAAACCTGACTATTAGGTCCAGTGATACAACACAATCTTTTCGTCTTGTAAGATGATGCCTTTCACTTTTAGCTGAGCGTGTATATTAGAGTCAGAATCTCATGTGTATGCTGGGCCAGCGTATGACACTCTCTACAACATCTGGCACTTTATAAAACCTCCTTGAGAGTTGCAATCCTCTCTGATGTTTTTATGCTCATGTGGACTCAAAATCATAAATATTGACCATGTTGGATAGACAACATCTCTCCTATAGACAGGGCTAAAAGAGAACACTTATTATTATGTCAGTGATCTGGGTTCAGAAATGAGCAGCCATCGTATCTGTGGCCTGATCCACATACAAAACCACAATTCCTACTTCACGCTGTATTCCCTTGTTAGAATCAGGACCTCAACAGTAGATATTGTAAATGTGGGATAGTGACTACTTTTAATTTCAATTGGGTGTGTAACTGAGAGTCTCAATCTGAAATTTTTGCTGGCCCTTGTTATGAAACTCTCTACCACAAAGAGTTTATACAATATAACTTACTGTTGTAAGATTCTTTGAGGTTGGTATCACTATGAAACACAGGACCTTACCTATTGTTTTAAGGTTAACGATGAGAGAAAAATATCTCCTATTGGCAGAATCCCAATATAGATATAATCATCATGCCTGTAAACTGAAGCAAAGCATATGTCATAATCCCATTAGGAGCAAAAAGTTAGGCAGGAGGGTAACATTGCTTAAGTACTGTACAAACCAATATGTCACATTTCCTTCTGTAGGCAGGGCATAGGAAATTGGGTCACATTAACTGGGTGCTGGGCTCAGAAATACACCATCTCACACGTGAAAAACCCAGCCAAGTTATGTGAGGCAAAACACCTGCATAATGGGGCCAAGATATGTCAAAATACCTTCAATGGCTCCTACAGAGGCAGGAGGGACACATCACAAAGGTTTTGGGCCCAGCAATAGGCAACATGCCATTATTTGCTCTTTATGCAGAACTCATGCAGAAGAGTAATATCATCTGGGTTATGGGTCCTGCAATAGGTCCCAATAACTTTTTTATGGGCACGGTTCGGGAAAAAGAGGAGAGTCACATATGCTTACTGTTGGGCTCAGCAATGTGTAAAAATCTCCTATAGTGAAAACCTAGGCAGAAAACAAGAGTCACAATACTTAGGTCATGGGCTCAGTGATTTATTTCCCAATGTTTCTATTTCCAAAGATATTTACGATCTCTTCTGATGAAACTGTTAAGACACAAGAGTCAAATCATCAAGGTTCTTGGACATGGTATATATAAACACATCATCTGTGGACTATAACTAGGCAGGATCATAAAATGACTCAGGTCCTGGGCAAAAGTGTATGTCACAATCATACTTGTGACAAGGTTCAGCTATGAGAATCATGATCCTACACATGTCCTGGCTCCAGGTACAAGAGTAATTAATAGGCCATTGATCTGCTCTCATGTATATGGCAAAATATCACCTGTGGACAGGGAAAAGAAATAAATCTATCACCTGAGTTGGTACTGGTCCATGGAAATGTCACAATCCTCCTTGTGGGAAGGACCCTGGAAGAAGGATCACATCACCTGGATGCTGGTTTCAGTGATAAACCTAAGTCCCCCTCTCCCATTGTGGGCAGAGCTTAGGCACAAGAGAAAATGAATATCACCCAGGCTATTGGGCTGGATATATGTGACAATGCCCTCTATATGTGAAGGACCAAGGCAGGAGAGACACCTCACTTTGGTGCTGGGTTCAGTAATATGACACAATCTCTATAGTATTCAGGGACCAGGCTAGAGAGAAGAAACATCACCTAGGTGCTGAGACAAGTGATGATTTACCAAACTTCCTATTAGCAGAACTGTTTCAAAAATAGAGTCACTTCACCTGGGTGCAGTACCCAGTTATGTATCACAATGCAATATAAGTGCAGGGCCAAGGCAGTAGCAGGAAGTCACATCACTTATGTGATAGACCTAGATAAAATCTTTGGTGCTCTTTGTTGGCAGGGTTCAGTCCAGGGTTTTACATCAGCTGGGTGCTGGTCCCAGTTATATATAAAACTGTCCTTTGATATATTGCCGAAAAGGTGTTATACATTGCTTAGGTGCTAGATGCATGTATGTTGCAATTTCAACAGTGCTCTGGGCATAGAAAGGAGAGTCAAAACACTCAGATTCTGGGCAAAATCATGCTTCTCAATCATATACTTGAAAATGTTCAGAAATAGGTTTCACTGTCCCACACATGTGCTGGCTTTGGGTATGAAAGTCAACACCTCCTATGAGTTGGGTCGAAGTACTGGAGTCACAATCACAACAAAGGGCAAGATAAATGTATAAGAGCCCCAATCTTACTTGAAGCTTGTGTTCCAGTAGGAGAGTCAAAGCACCACATGTCTGTGGATTCATGATTTAACCATCACCAGACCCCCTTTGGATCAGATTCAAGTATGTGAGTAACAATGCTTATATGTGTGAGAATTTGTTCCTTATTCAGAGGCTCTGTTTATGTGTGAGAATGACAATCATTTCAGCTAGGTATGCATCCAAGAGTCCGAATAACACCTGGCTGCTGGTGACTGTTATGACACACTTTGTACCACCCAGGCTTTATATGATATGCCTGAGTAGCATAATTTTCTGTGAATTCTTACAGGTGGTAGATCTAGGTCATTACCCATGACCACAAGACTGGCTAGGAGAGTTGAAATGTCTTCCCTGACTAGCTCTGGTTTTGAGAGTTATTATTGTGTATATGAGCTGAATCCAGTATATGTCACAATTCCACCTATAGACAGAGACAAGACAGAAGAGTCACATCATCTGGGTACTGAGTGAGGGATACTTGTAATCTCTTTTGTAGGCGGGACCTAGGGAGAAGAGTCATAATACCTCCATACAGTCTCAAATAATATGTCATAATGCCCACTGTATACAAGGTTGAAAAAATCATGGATTGTCACAACCTCTAGGTGCTGGGCACAGAAATATGTTGTAATTCCCTCTCTTGGTAGAGTCCAGCACAAAGAGAAGAGTCACATCACCTAGGTTTTGTACTCGGTGGTGAGTCACAAATTCTTCAGTGGGCAGTATCAAGGCAGAGAGCAGAGTCACATTACATATATGCTATATCCAGCGATATATGACAGTGTGCCCTGTGGGCCAGACCCCGGCAGGAGAGACACATCACCTAGCTGATAGTCCCAGAGATATGTAATAGTATCCCCTGTAGTCTGACTCCAAGCAGAAGAGTCACATTATGATGATTCTAACTCAGAGATATTATATATCACACACACACATTATATACATATACATTGTGTGTGTATATATATCCATGTATGTATATATGTATACATGTGTATATATATCCATGTTTTATATATGGTGTATATATACATTGTATATACATATTGTGTATATGTACATTGTATATACATACATTGTGTATATATACATTATATATACATACATTTTGTATATGTATACATTATATATACATTGTGTATATGTATACATTATATATACATACATTGTATATGTATAGACAGCAATATTTCACAAGGCACCTATGGTAAAGAATTTAAGCCAGAAGTCTAAACACCAGGGTACTAGGCCTAGTAATATGACACAATCTCCTCATCTTCTAGGTGACAGCTTTAACTGTTAGCTTGGTGTTTATATTACAGTCACAACCTTATATGTGTTCTGCATCATTATATTGCACACTTTACAACATCCAGAGGCTTTATGCAACATACATGAGAGTCACAAACCACTCTGAGGCCTACAGGCTTGTATTTCCTCACAATCTTACATATTGCCTTAAACCCAGTTATGATTGTCAACATCTTTCTAATAGGCTGGGTTCAGACAGGAGACCCATTATTATGCCTATGATCTGGGTCCAAAAAATAGTCACCATCTTACCTATAGCAAGATCTACATATAAAAGTGAAAAATTTCAACTTTGTACTTTATTTACTTGCTATTCTCAGGACTTCAATGTTCGCTTTGTAAATATGGGATGCTGAAAACTTTTCACTCACCTGCACATGTAATCAAGAGTCATGATCTTAACCTTTTGCTAGGCCCTGTTTTAAAACTCTGTGTACCACCCAAGCAGTTTTTAGAGTATGAGTTATTGTTGTACACTGCTGTGAGCTTTCTACCAATATGCAAGTCACAACTTTAAGTATTTCCCTAAGTGTAGAGATGACAGGAAAATATCTGTTATTAGTGGAATCCCAATTTCAGTTTGATCATCATGACTCTGAATTGAATCAATGTAAATTTCATAATCCCATTTGTAGGAAAAAAATACTTGGCAGGAGGGTGGTAGAACTGAGGTGCTGTGCCAAGCAATATGTCACAATGCCTTATCTATGGAGGGTCTAGAAATGAGGGTTACATTTACTGGGTGCTGGACCCAGCAATGTGGCACAATCCCAAGTTCTAAAACAACAAAAACAAACAAAACAAGACCAAGAAACAGACAAGTGATGAGAGCAAAAACTCCTACCTCATGTGCCCAAGATATGTAAAAATACTTTCTGTTGCTTGGGCACAAGCAAGACAGTTACAGCATCAGGGTGGGGGACACAGCAATATGCCATAATTCTCTCTTTATGCAGGATCCAGGCAGAAGAGGAACATCATTTGGGTGCTGGGCCCTGCAATATGTCAAAATTCCTTTTCATGTGTATGTTTTGGGAAAAAAAGAAGAGTCATATAAACTAAGTATTGGGTTTAGCAATATGTCACATCACTCCATTGTAAAGGCTCAGGCAGATGAAAAGAATTACATCACTTAGGAAACTGGCTCAGAAATATGGCCCAATGTCTGAAATAAGCAAGCCTCAGACAGAAGAGAAGAGTCATATTACATAGGTGTTTAGCTAGATGTATGAAAAAAATCTAACATGTGAGGTGAAGCCAGGCAGAAGGGTCACATTACCTTGATCCTGGTTCCTGAGATATGTCACAAGGTTCCCTTAGGACAAGTGTCAAACAAGAGAGTTACAACAAATGGTTTAGATTCTACCTTTATATCACAATGCCCTTTGTGGGCCACACTGAAGCAGGGAGTTACATTTCCTAGGTGATACTCACAAGGATGTGTCACAATGTTCTCCTTGAGACATGACTCTGGCAAAAGAGTACCATCACTTCAATGCCTGGTGTAGCAATATGTCACTATTCAGGAAAGCAGGACCCCAGCAGGAGAGCAACATTACCTAAGAGATTGGCCCAGAGATTTGTCACAGTGCTTTTTTTAGGACATGGCTCTAACAAAAGAGTATTGTCACCTGTGTGCCTGGCTCAACCATATGTAATTATCCCCAAATATGTGTAGGGCCCATTATAAAGAGCAGAGTTACATTATCTAAGTGGTTGACACAGTGATATATCACAATAATTTCTGTGGGCATGGCTAAGGCAAAAATGTAACATAACCTAGGTGCTAGATCTAATAATATGTCATGATTCTTACTGAGAGCAGGGCCCAGGCAGGAGAGTCCCATCATGTAGAAGTAGGCACAGGTAGACAGTATAATAAAATATGTGAGCCAGAACCATTATGAAGAATTAAATCACACAGGTGCTCAGCAAAATTTATATCACAATAACACTAGCAGAAAATTCCCATGATGAGATTTACAATATCACACATGGTCTGTTTTCTTGAGTGACTGTTAGCTTCATATAGGTGAGATGGTGATAGTCTTTACTGTCAGCTGGGTGTGCATTTGAGACTCACAGTTTCACCTTCTGCTGGGTTCTGTAGTGATGCTTTCTGTACAAGCTAAAGGCTTTATAAAATATGTAGCTGTTGTAATCTTCTTTGATTTTTTTTTTGTACCAGATAGAGATTTAACCACTCATGTCTCTAAAGTAAGTTAGGAGAGTCAAAATTACTTCTATTTGTGGGATCCACATAGGAGAATCATTATCATGCCCATGAGCTGTGTTTGGGTATATGTCACAATTTAGTTTGTGGTAATGAAACAGGAATGACAGCCAAGTCACCTAAATAGTGAGTCAGAAATTTTCCGATATTCTCCTTGTACTCATGTCCTGGGCAGAAATGTTGCATAACTTGGGGGTTACATCAAGATGTATAACACAATATCCCTGTGTGTGGTGTCCAGGCAGAAGAGGAGACCCATATCACCTAAATGACAGGCCCAGAAATATGTTACAAAGACTCCCCTTAAAAAGACCAGGCAAGAGAGTCATATAATTTGGATGTAGTGCTTAGAAATGCTACAATCCCTAGTGGAAGCAGGGTCCAGGTTAGAGAGGAGTGTCAGATAATTAGATGATGTGTCCAGAAATCTGTTACAATCCTTCTGGAAGATATTGTTAAGGCAGGAGAGTCAAATCATCAAGGTGATTAGTTGAAGTATATGTCCAAATTTCATTTGAGGACTACAACTAGGCAGCAGTATTAAATCACTCAAGAGCTGGGCAACGGTATATGTCATAATAACATTGGTGGAAAGTTTGAGGAATGGGAGTCTCCATGTTGAATATGAACTGGATCCAGATTTAACAGTCATGATTAGTCCTCTTAAGTGGTCTTAGGTATATGGAACAATATCATCTGTGGGCAGAGAGCAAGCAGAAAGGTCACAACATCTAGGTGGGTCCTGGTCCAGTGAGATGTCACAATCTTTCCTTTGGGCAGGACCCTGGAAGAAGACTCACATCAGCTGGATACTGGTTTTAGTGATAAATCAAAATACCCCCTGTGAGCAAATCTTAAGAGGGTGAGGAGACTCACTTTACCCAAGCAATTGGCCTAGATATATGTCAAAATATTCACTATATGCAGAACCAACGTGTGACAGTGACCTCACTTTGGTGCTGGGTTTAGTAATATGTCACAATCTCCCCTCTGGTCATTGCAGGACAAGAGAGAAGAAACATTAGCTAGGTGCTCAGCCAAGTGATATATTACAAAGCTTCCTGTTGGCAGAATCCAAAATGGAGAGTCACACCACCTGGGCACAGTACCCTGTTATGTGTCACAATGCACTGTAACAGCAGGGCCAAGGTAGTAGAAGGGAGTCACATCACATATATGATGGATCTAAATGTAAGCCACAATCCCTTTCATAGACAGGAAAGAGACAAAGAATTCACATCACCTTGGTGCTGGTCCCAATGACATGTAAAATTGTCCATGGTAGGCAGGCCAAGGCACCTTTGCTTAGGTATATGGTCCACATATGTCACAATTTTATCTGTGGTTATGGCCTAAAAAGAAGAGTCAAATTATGCAGGAGCTGGGCTAACTATTATGTTCTAATCACACACTTGGAAATATTCAGAAATAAGTTTTATAGCCCTACACAAGTCCTGGATTTGTGCATGTGAGTCAACACCTCTTGTGAGTTGGGTCAAAGCAGAGGAGTCACAGTCTCAACAATGGGCAGGATCCATGGAACAATTTCCCAATTCCACTTGAAGATTGTGTTCCAGTAGGAAAGTCCAGCCTCACAGTTGGGCTCAATATTGCATAACCAAACCATCCATGGGGTTATACCGTGTATGAAAGGAACAATTTCAACCTTTGAGTGTTCTTTTGTGTGAAATTTAATACTTTATTTGTAGGCCATGTTCTTGTGTGAGAATGACAATCAAGTTAGCTGGGTGTGTCCATGATTCACAATAACATCTGGTTGCTATTCCCTGTTATGACATTGTTTGTACAACTGAGGCTTTATATGGTATGCCTGAGTGTCATAATCCTCTATGAACTTTATACAAATAGGAGACCCATTATTTTACTTATGGCAATAAGACTGGCTATGAGAGGCTCTGTCACAGGCAGGATAGTAACATCTTCCGGGTGCTTGGCCCACTCATATGCAATAATTTCTTCTTAATTCAGAACTCTGACAAAATGGTAATATCATCTTTGTGGAATAGGTCAAAATTTCCCTTTGTGGGCATGGTTCAGAAAAAAGAGTACGGTCACATAAGTGAAACTCTAAGCTCAGCAATATGCCATAATCCCACCATTTTAAAGGCCCAGGCAGCTGAAGAAAATCATATCACTTAGGTCATGGGCTCAGAGATATGTCCCAATGTCCCCAGTAGGCAGGACTCAGAGAGGAGAGTTGTATCACTTATGTGCTTTTTTAGGTATATGTCACAATCTAACACATGGGAAGACACCAGGTAGAACAGACACATCACCTGGGTGCTGGGTACTGTGATATGTCACAAGGCTTCCTTAGGAAAACACCAAGGCAAAAGAGTTACATCATCTTCCAGTAGGTTTAATTGTTATGTCATAATGCTGTATGTGGGTGAGGTCCAAGCCTCAAGTCACATAATCTAGGTGACAGTCACAGAGATATATTACTATGCCTTCCTTGACATATAGCACTGGTGAAAAAGAATCATCACCAATTTACCTGGCCTAGAAATATGTCACTTGCACCCACTCTGTTCAGGACCCATTCTAGAGAGGAGAGTTACATCACCTAATTGGTGGACATAGTGATATGTCACAGTGATGTCTGTGGCCAAGGCTCAGGCAAGAATGTAACATCACCTGGGTTTTTGATCCAGTAATATGTCACAATCCTTACTGAGAGAAGGGCCAAGGCAGGAGAGTCACATCATTTATACGTTGGTCCAGGTAGAGATAACTATCCCATATATGATCTGGAACCAGTCTGGAGAGTCAAATCACACAGATGCTCAGCAAATGTTTATATCACAATCACACTGTCAGAATATTCCAGAGATGAGATTTACAATACCATACATGTCCTGCTTTCATGAGTGACAGTTGGCTTCATGTATGTGAGATGTGACAGTCCGTACTGTCAGCTGCATGTGCATATGAGACTCACAATTTCACCATTCTGCTGGGTTCTGTGATAACACTCTCTGTACAAGCCATGGGCCTTATCTGAGCCTGTTATAATCTTCTGTGACCTCTTTACCAGAAAGAGATATAAGAAATCACTTGTGTTTCTAAAGCAAGTTACAAGAGTGAAAATTACTCTTATTTGTGGTGTCCACATATGAGAGCTACTATCATGCCTCTGAACTGTGCCTAGATATATGTCAAAATTTATTCTGTGGTAATGAAACAGGCATGACAGCCATGTCACCTAAATGCTGAGCCAGACATTTTCCACTATTCTCCTTCTAGACAAGTTTCTGGCAGGAAAGTCGCATAACTGCGGGGCTGCATGAAACTCTATGGCACAATGGCCCTTCTAAGCAGGGTTCAGGCAGAAGAGGAAGTCACATCACCTAAATGATAGACCTTGAGTTATGTCACAATTTCTCCTGTTGAAAGGGCCAGAAATGTATCATTTCCAATTATACTCAATTATACTCATATATATCTATATATATTATATTTTAAGTTCTAGGGTACATGTGCACAACGTGCAGGTTTGTTACATATGTATACATGTACCATGTTGGTGTGCTGCACCCATTAACTCATCATTTATATTAGTCATATCTCCTAATGCTATAACTCCCTCCTCCCTCCAACCCACAACAGGACCCAAAATGTGATGTTCCCCTTCCTGTGTCCAAGTGTTCTCATTATTGAAGTCCCACCTATGAGTGAGAACGTGCAGCGTTTGGTTTCTTGTCCTTGAGATAGTTTGTTGAGAATGATGGTTTCCAGCTTCATCCATGTCCCTACACAGGACATGAACTCATAGTTTTTTATGGCTGCATAGTATTCCATGGTGTATATGTGCCAAATTTTCTTAATCAAGTCTATCATTGTTAGACATTTGGGTTGGTTCCAAGTCTTCGCTATTGTGAATAGTGCCGCAATAAACATATGTGTGCATGTGTCTTTATAGTAACATGATTTATAATCCTTTGGGTATATACCCAGTAATGGGATGGCTGGGTCAAATGGTATTTCTAGTTCTAGATCCCTGAGGAATTGCCACACTGACTTCCACAATGGTTGAAATAGTTTACAGTCCCACCAATGGTGTAAAGGTGCTTCTATTTCTCCACATTCTCTCCAGCACCAGTTGTTTCCTGACTTTTTAATGATTGCCATTCTAAGTGGTGTGAGATGAAATATCATCGTGGTTTTGATTTGCATTTCTCTGATGATCAGTGATGATGAGCATTTTTTCATGTGCATTTTTTATTGTATCTGTTGACTGCATAAATGTCTTCTTCTGAGAAGTGTCTGTTCATATCCTTCGCCCACTTGTTGATGGGGTTGTTTGGTTTTTTTTGAAAATTTGTTTGGGTTCATTGTAGATTCTGGATATTACCCTTTGTCAGATGAGTAGATTGCAAAAATGTTCTCCCATTCTGTAGGTTGCCTGTTCACTCTGATGGTACTTTTTTTTTTGGCTGTGCAGAAGCTCTTTAGTTTAATTAGTCCCATTTGTCAATTTTGGCTTTTGTTGCCATTGCTTTTGGTGTTTTAGACATGAAGTCCTTGCACATGCCTATGTCATGAATGGTATTGCCTAGGTTTTCTTCCAGGATTTTTATGGTTTTAGGTCTAATATTTAAGTCTTTAATCAGTCTTGAATTAATTTTTGTATAAGGTGTAAGGAAGGGATCCAGTTTCAGCTTTCTACATATGGCTAGCCAGTTTTCCCAGCACCATTTGTTAAATAGGGAATCCTTTCCCCATTTCTTGTTTTTCTCAGGTTTGTCAAAGATAAAATAGTTGTAGATACGTCACATTATTTCTGAGGGTTCTGTTCCGTTCCATTGGTCTATATCTCTGTTTTGGTACCAGTACCATGCTGTTTTGATTACTGTAGCCTTGTAGTATAGTTTGAAGTCAGGTAGTGTGATGCCTCCAGCTTTGTTCTTTTGGCTTAGGATTGACTTGGCTATGTGGGCTCTTTTTTGGTTGCATATGAACTCTAAAGTAGTTTTTTCGAATTCAGTGAAGAAAGTCATTGGTAGCTTGATGGGGATGGCATTGAATCTTTAAATTATCTTGGGCAGTATGGCCATTTTCACAATATGGATTCTTCCTATTCATGAGCATGGAATGTTCTTCCATTTATTTGTGTCCTCTTTTATTTCATTGAGCAGTGGTTTTTAGTTCTCCTTTAAGAGGTACTTCACATCCCTTGTAAGTTGAATTCCTAGGTATTTTATTCTCTTTGAGGCAATTTTGAATGTGAGTTCACTCATGATTTGGCTCTCTGTTTCTCTCTTATTGTGTATAACAATGCTTGTGATTTTTGCACATTGATTTTGTATCCTGAGACTTTGCTGAACTTGCTTATCAGCTTGAGGAGTTTATGCACTGAGATGATGGGGTTTTCTAGATATACAATCATGTCATCTGCACACAGGGACAATTTGACCGCTTCTTTTCCTAATTGAATACTCTTTATTTCTTTCTCCTGTGTGATTGCCCTGGCCAGAAATTCCAACATTGTGTTTAATAGGTGTGGTGAGAGAGGGCTTCCCTATCTTGTGCCAGTTTTCAAAGGGAATGCTTCCAGTTTTTGCCCATTCAGTATGATATTGGCTCTGGGTTTGTCATAAATAGCTCTTATTATTTTTAGATACATCCCATCAATACCCAATTTATTGACAGTTTTTAGCATGAGGGGCTGTTGATTTTTGTTGAAGGCCTTTTCTGCATCTATTGGGATAATCATGTGGATTTTGTCTTTGGTTCTGTTTATATGCTGGATTATGTTTATTGATTTCTGTATATTGAACCAGCTTTGCACCCCAGGGATGAAGCCCACTTGATGATTGTGAATAAGCTTTTTGAAGTGCTGCTGGATTTGGTTTGCCAGGGTTTTATTGAGGACTTTTGCATCAATGTTCATCAGGGATATTGGTCTAAAATTCTCTTTTTTGTTGTGTCTCTGCCAGGCTTTGGTATCAGGATGATGCTGGCCTCATAAAATGAGTTAGGGAGGATTCCCTCTTTTTCTATTGATTGGAATAGTTTCAGAAGGAATGGTCCCAGCTCCTCCTGTACCTCTTGTAGAATTCAACTGTGAATCCATCTGGTCCTATACTTTTTTTTGGTTGGTAAACTATTAATTATTGCCTCCATTTCAGAGCCTGCTATTGGTCTACTGAGAGATTTAACTTCCTTCTGGTTTAATTATTAGGAAGGTGTATGTGTCGAAGAATTTATCCATTTCTTCTAGATTTTCCAGTTTATTTGCATAGTGGTGTTTATAGTATTCTCTGATGGTAGTTTGTATTTCTATGGGATTGGTGGTGATATCCTCTTTATCATTTTTTATTGTGTCTATTTTACTCTTCTCTCTTTTCTTCTTTATAGTATTGCTAGCAGTCTATCACTTTTTTTATCTTTTCAGAAAACCAGCTCCTGGATTCATTGATTTTTGAAGGGGTTTTTGTGTCTCTATCTCCTTCAGTTCTGCTCTGATATTAGTTAGTTCTTGCCTTCTGCTAGTTTTGAATGGGTTTGCGCTTGCTTCTCTATCTCTTTTAATTGTGCTGTTAAGGTGCCAATTTTAGATCTTTCCTGCTTTCTCTTGTGGACATTTAGTGATATAAAATTCCCTCTACCCACTGCTTTGAATGTGTCCCAGAAATTCTGGTATGTTGTGTCTTTGTTGTCTTTGGTTTCAAAGAACATCTTTATTTCTGCCTTCATTTCGTTATGTACCCAGTAGTCATTCATGAGCAGGTTGTTCATTTTCTATGTACTTGAGCAGTTTTTAGTGAGTTTCTTAATCCTGAGTTCTAATTTGATTGCACTGTAGTCTGAGAGACAGTTTGTTATCATTTCTGTTCTTTTACATTTGCTGAGGAGTGCTTTACTTCCAAGTATGTGGTCAATTATGGAATAGGTGTGGTGTGGTGCTGTGAAGAATGTACATTGTTTTGATTTGGGGTGGAGAGTTCTGTAGATGTCTATTAGTTCTGCTAGGTGCAGAGCTGAATTCAATTCCTGGATATCCTTGTTAACTTTCTGTCTTGTTGATCTGTCTAATGTTGACAGTGGGTTGTGAAAGTCTACCATTATGATCTGGTTAATGTTGACAGTGGGAGTCTAAGTCTCTTTGTAGGTCTCTAAAGACTTGCTTTATGAATCTGGGTGATCCTCCTGTATAGGGTGCACATATATTTAGAATAGTTAGCTCTTCTTCTTGAATTGATCCCTTTACCATTATGTAATGGCCTTCTTTGTCTGTTTTGAAATTTGTTGGTTTAAAGTCTGTTTTATCAGAGACTAGGATTACAAACCCTGCCTTTTTTTGTTTTCCATTTGATTGGTAGATCATCCTCCATCCCTTTAGTTTGAGCCTATGTGTGTCTCTGCACATGAGATGGGTTTCCTGAATACAGCACTCTGATGGGTCTTGACTCTTTATCCAATTTGCCAGTCTATGTCTTTTAATTGGAGCATGTAGCCCATTTACATTTAAGGTTAATATTGCTATGTGTGAATTTAATCCTGGCATTATGATGTTAGCTGGTTATTTTGCTCGTTAGTTAATGCAGTTTCTTCCTAGCCTTGATGGTCTTTACAATTTGACATGTTTTTGCAGTGCCTGGTACTGGTTGTTCCTTTCTATGTTTAGTGCTTCCTTCAGGAGCTCTTTTAGGGCAGGCCTGGTGGTGACAAAATCTCTCAGCATTTGCTTGTCTGTAAAGTGTTTTATTTCTCCTTCACTTACGAAGCTCAGTTTGGCTGGATATGAAATTCTGGGTTGAAAATTCTTTTCTTTAAGAACGTTGAATATTGGCCCCCACTCTCTTCTGGCTTGTAGAGTTTCTGCTGAGAGATCCACTGTTAGTCTGATGGGCTTCCCTTTGAGGGTAACCCGACCTTTCTCTGTCTGCCCTTAACATTTTTTCCTTCATTTCAACTTTGGTGAATCTGACAATTAAGTGTCTTGGAGTTGCTCTTCTCGAGGAGTATCTTTGTGGTGTTCTCTGTATTTCCTCAATTTGAATGTTGGCCTGCCTTTCTAGGTTGGGGAGTTCTCCTGGATAATATCCCGCAGAGTGTTATCCCGTTTGGTTCCATTCTTCCCATCATTTTCAGGTACACCAATCAGATGTAGATTTGGTCTTTTCACATAGTCCCATATTTCTTGGAGGCTTTGTTCATTTCTTTTTATTCTTTTTTCTCTAAACTTCTCTTCTTGCTTCATTTCATTCATTTGATCTTCAATCACTGGTAGCCTTTCTTCTACTTGATAAAATTGGTTACTGAAGCTTGTGCATTTGTCACTGAGTTCTCATGCCTCGGTTTTCAGTCTTTTTTGGACTTCTCTGCATTGGTTATTCTTGTTAGCCATTCGTCTAATCCTTTTTCAAGGTTTTTTACTCCTTTACTTGGAGAAGTTCGATCATCTGAGGTCTTGTTCTCTCAACTTATCAAAGTCCTTCTCCATCCAGCTTTGTTCCATTGCTGGTGAGGAACTGCATTCCTTTGGAGGAGGAGAGGTACTCTTATTTTTAGAATTTTCAGCTTTTCTGTTCTTTTTTTCCCCCATCTTTGTGATTTTATCTACCTTAGGTCTTTGATGATGGTGACATACAGATTGGGTTTTGGTGTGGATGTCCTTTCTGTTTCTTAGTTTTCCTTCTAACAGTCAGGACCCTCAGTGACAGGTCTGTTGGAGTTTGCTGGAGGTCCACTCCAGATCCTGTTTGCCTGGGTATCAGCAGCGGAAGCTGCTGAACAGCGAATATTTTTGAACAGCAAATTGTTACTGTATGATTATTCCTCTGGTGGTTTCATCTCAGAGGTGTACCCAGCCATGTGAGGTTGTCTTCCCCTAATGGGGGGTGCCTCCCAGTTAGTCTACTTGGGGATCAGGGACCCACTTGAGGAGGCAGTCTGTCCATTCTCAGATCTCAAATTCCGTGCTGGGAGAAACACTACTCTCTTCAAATCTGTCAGGCAGGGACATTTACGTCTGCAGAGGTTTCTGCTGCCGTTTGTTTGGCTATGTCCTACCTCCAGAGGTGGAGTCTACAGAGGCATATAGACCACCTTGAGCTGCGGTGGGCTCCACTGAGTTTGAGCTTCCCAGACACTTTGTTTACCTACTCAAGCCTCAGAAATGGTGGGCGCCCCTCCCCAAGCCTCGCTGCTGCCTTGCAATTCAATCTCAGACTGCTGTGCTAGCAATGAGTGAGGCTCCTTTGGTGTGCCACCCTCTGAGCCAGGCACAGGATATAATCTCCTCTTGTACCATTTTCTAAGACCATTGGAAAAGCAGTATTAGGGTGGGAGTGACCCAATTTTCCAGGTGCTCTCTGTCACAGCTTTGCTTGGCTATGAAAGGGAATTCCCTGACCCCTCGCACTTCCCACATGAGGCAGTGCCTCGCCCTGCTTCAGCTTACACTCAGTGCACTGCACCCACTGTCCTGCACCCACAGCCTGACAAGCCCCAGTGAGATGAACCTGGTACCTCAGCTGGAAATGCGGAAATCACCCATCTTCTGTGTCATTCATACTGGGAGGTGTAGATTGGAGCTGTTCTTATTTAGCCATCTTAGAACTAGAACCTATACTCATTTTTATGTGGAGTAGTTTGGTATCTCATTTTGGCTTTGATTTTTTTCTAATAATTAATAATGTTGAGCATCTTTGTTTGTAATTGGCAATTAGTATGTTTTCTTTGGGGAAATGTCATTTAAGGTCTCTCGCCTATTACTAAATAGGGTATTATTATTGCTCTTAAAATTGTTATATATTCTGTCTGGTTATACTCTGTCATACATATATTTTGCAAATATACTTTCCTTTTTTTTTTTTCTTTGGATTCTGGTAGTTTCACTTGTCTGCTTTTGTTTTTGTTGCCTGCACTTCTGGGGTCTTATTTAAAATTTTTTTCTGTCCTCTTTGATAAAGAATTTCTCTTTGCTTTATTGAAATCATTTTATAAGTTTGAGTTTTATATTTTAATCTTCTATTTATTTTTAATTATGTTATTTAAATATGGTAACAGGTAGGCATCTAGTTGTATTACTCAGTATTTAAACAATTAATTTTACTGGCACCATATATTGATGTGGTTGACTTTTCTTAAATGTGTGTCCCAAACAGTTTAAAAATTATTTGGCTCTACATTTATTAGTTTATTACTGGAATCAGTGGACACTTTGGTCTATGTGTCTGTTTACTATACCAGTATCATGCTGTTTACTTATTACAGCCTTGCAGTATATTTTGAAGTCAGGTAATTTGATGCTGTCAGCTTTTTTCTATTTTAGAAGATAACGTTGGCTATGTAGGGAGCTTTAATTTTTCCCTATAAATTTTAATGCTTTTTTTAATTTCTGTGAAAAAATGTCATTGGTATTTTTACAGAGTTTGCATTGAGTCTGTTGATTACCTTGAGTAGCAGATCCATTTTAACAATATTTTTATAAGTCATGACCAAAATACACTTCTCAAGTTTTTCATGATTTTTAATCTCTTAATCAATGTTT
Organism: Homo sapiens; assembly: GCF_000001405.40. Classification (NCBI taxonomy): domain Eukaryota; kingdom Metazoa; phylum Chordata; class Mammalia; order Primates; family Hominidae; genus Homo; species Homo sapiens. The sequence continues at coordinate 8,103,509 of NC_000024.10, forward strand.
TATAAGTATCGTGCAGAGAGTGTTTATCTTTTTAATTAAGTTTACTGCTACGCACCTTTATTTTTTATTTTAGATGCAGCAAAATTACTCTGAAAAATTTAACATGCCTTTGTGATTAAAACAACTGAACAGTTTAGGTATAGATGGTATGTACCACAACACAGTTAAGGCAAAATTTGACAAATCAATAGCTGATATCACACTGAAAATAAAAAGATGAAAGCCTTCTACTTAAGACGTAGAAGAAGACAGTGATGTCACTTTTACCACCTTTATTCAACACATTACTGGAAGTCTTAGCCAGATTATTTGTGCAAGAGAAAGAAATGAAAGACATCCAACTAAAAAAGGAGAAAGTCAAATTTTCTCTCTTTGCAGATCACATAACTGTTTATATAACAAAACTTAAATTACTACACTAAAAATCTTGAGAATTGATAAATTAAGTAAAGTGGCAGAATACCACATTACATAAAAAAGTTGTAAGAGCATATTTACATGCCAAGAATCAGCCATCTGAAAAAGAAATTCAAGAAAAAAATATTTACAACAACTATAAAAACTAAGTCTTACTTCATTTCAGCCTGAAGGCTGAAAAATTGGACTGCTGATTTCAAATGAAGCCAGCTCTTTTCTAACAGTTTTTCTCTGAATAACGTCCTCCTGTGCAATAGGAAAAGGAGGTGGAGCCATTGAAATTCATACCTTTTGGCAGCAGAGGAGCCTGGACTCTTAAATTGCTATGTGGTGACCTGGTGTTCCTCAATCTGTGAGGTCCGGACCTGTAACAGGATTGCCTCTCACTTTGCTGAGTTTTTTTCTTTTTTTTCTTTTTCCTTTGGGCCCAGTAAACTTTACTTCTTGCCCTCCAGTGTATTCATTAGCCTCTTCCTTCATAATCATGTGACAAGATCCTTGTTTTAGCTTAACTAAGGAGTAATTTCTATAAGATTTCATTGTCTAGATGTGGGGCTTGAGGTAAGGTAAGATGTAAATCAAAAAATCTTTTCCTATTTTGTTTGTAAGTCTTTTCATTCTTGGACTTCTCCTGAAGTCCAACACTTCAGGAGACTTCAGGGTAGGGACTCTGCAGTACCCTACCCAAACAGCCCCAGGCACATGTAGGATGCATAGTTGAATGGTGGCTCCTCATTCCCATCTCCTCTGGGCTGAAAAATGCCAGGTGTCTTCTCCTTCACTGGCCAAGGGATCCAGCCTCACCCAAGAGAAATTAAATTTTTCTCCTTGCTGAAGGAACCTGTTTTCATAAGAATGAAAAGGTTCTTTCCTGCCCTACACTTCAGCCTTTTTTTTTTTTCTTCATCCTGTCAGCAATTTACTTTTAAGCAGAAGATTTTGTTCTTCCTCTTACGGAATGTTTTGCTGGGCTATGCTCCAACAATCACTGCTTATATTCTTTGCAGAATTTTAATTGTGAATAGGTATTTTTAGGTTGGTCTAGAGCTGTGGCCAATCTAGTTGGCTTTGTATATCATCCTCTATGGTTGTTAGGAAATTTTGCTGCAGGCATCCATTTTGTTTTATATTTTTAGGAACATGACATGTAACAGTGTGGCAATGTTTTGTTTTGGCCTCCGTCATTTTACAAAGATGGCCCAGGTTTAATGCTGGCTTAAGGAAAGAGCCCCTTCTGGTTTTATATCAACATGTAACATTTGCCATTTGCCGATTCTCTTCCCCTTTACAAACTGCCTTGATTTTTTTTCTTCCTATTTGTAAGTTAGCTTTGCTAAAATCTGAAAGCCAGAAATGGCGGCTTGGTGCTGCTAGAGTCAGGTAATAGAAAATTTGAAAGGACTTCCTTAAAGAGTCCTCAACTTGATTAAAAGTGGATATCCAAAGTATAGGTATATTTAAAAGACCTTTATGTTTTTCTCTTGTTGCATGTTGTTTTGCTGCTGAAAGTGTTTTTCTCAGCCAACTGAATTCTTTTTCTTCATTTTGTCTAGCCACTCTAATGCATGCAGTAGAGGCCAGTAATTCAATCTGGAAACTGGCAAATAAAACCCTTATGCCTACTGGGTTTTCTTCTGCCTATGTAGTTATATATGTGTTGTCAGTGTGATGTCTATATATAGAGCTCTAATAAACTTAAAGTGTGATAAGAACTTTGAACAAATATTTATCGAAGGGAAGAAAAAAAGATGTGTACCTTTTTGTCTACCTGACTTTTAATCTTTGAGAAATAAAAACAGCCTTAAAAATTATCATTAAAACACAAAAGTCATCAATGTGTCAGTGGGTGGACTAAATTAAGCAGGTCAGATACTAGTTTTCATAAATGTTTGAAGTTTATAAACAGCATTTTTGGGTTTTGAGAACAATTCAACTTTGCTTCATTATTGGTAAGGCCTGAGGACAAACAGAATTAACCATACACTTAATTTGGCTGGAAGGAAGTCAAATCCTTACCGCACCAAGCACATAATTAAAATAATTTACCTGATTTTACATTAAAGTCAAAATTACTAGAATTTACCATTCTAAAACATAATTAAAAGCACTGGAAGTAGATTTACATATGAGTAAATGATTTACCTACAGTAAAATGTGTTTCTAATAAAAAATTATAAGAAGTCATGAATATATAAATTCTTGACTAGGGTAAAATGTTTATTCTGAATTAGATAATATAAAGCTAAAAGTTCAAACAAGTTTTGGAAGGATTGTAAAATTAAATCTTGCCAAAGGAATTCTCTTTGTGAACATTATTTAAATTTAAAAGATATTATATGGGTTTTTTGTAAATTGGGCCATGAAATAAAGTACAACAAGGTATTCTTATGGCACAAATCTGTTCCTTAGCAAAATTTGTAAAGAATTCTAAAAGGTTTTTGCTTTCTACATTTCTAAGTCATCATTTTGGTTAAATGATTGATTTAACCAAATTAATTAATTAACATATTTAGTGATATTGTCTCACTCTGGACAATCTCCAACCATGCTCAGGTGCTTGCTGAAGCCAAAGCGAATACAGAATGGGTCTTAGAAGAAGGTAGTCATCAATACCAGCTACAACCACTTGACCAGCTGAAGGACTGTAACTGTTGTATGTATTTTCTCCTTCTTTTGTTAAAAACATTTTTTTGTTTATACACTCATACTTAGAAAATATCTTCATTTCCTTTTTCCTTTATAATGTGTTATAAGATTTATTAACTTTGCATTTGCATTTAAGTATTATTAACTTCATGTAATGATATTTGGGTTGGGGATTGGTGCATTTCCAGATGTATGAAGAAAAGTTGTATTGTATTAGGCATAATTGTGACTTCATTATTTTGTTTATTCAAAGATTATGTATAATCTCAGTAGATGTGCATGGGTTCAGGTTGCCAAGGGGTAGACTTGGGATAGTTAGTATTGTGTGTCAATGTGATTGTATTGAAGAATGAAAATTATTAATCCTCAGTGTGTCTGTGAGGGTGTTCCTAAAGGAGATTAATATTTCAGTAAGTGACCTGCAAAAGGCAGACCCTTCCTTAATCTGAGCAGGTACCATCTAGTCAGCTGCCAGCATGACTAGCTGCCAGATAGAAAAATATAAAAATATGAGACTGGTCTAGTCTCTCAGCCTACATTTTTCTCCCATGCTAGATGCTTTCTGCTCTAAAACCTCAGGCTCCAAGTTCTTTAGTTTTGAAAACTGCATAGGCTTTCCTTGCTCCTCAGCTTGCAGATGGCTTATAGTGAAACCTTTGATGAATACAACCATTCAAACTCTTTCCACAGGGAGGGAGAAAGACATTCATCTTAACTTTGGTTTTCAGTTTTAAAGAGCATAGATGTGATGCTTACTCTTTAATTTTATAACCAAAATCTGTTATCATGTAGGTTTGACAGAAGAATGTATACCCTCTCTGTCACTTTCCAAAAACTCAGTGTAAGAATTGGGTGTAAAAAAAGTCTTTTGTGTGGCACCTGACTGCTGCACAACAAATATCCTTTTAAAAAATTTAAACTCAGGTCTTGAAGAATTTTCCTAAAGTTTAGATGATTCACATTAATAAGAAAAATGTTTAAATGTCATGAAAGAAACCCTCATGAAAAATATAAGCAGAAACAGCTAGCACCATTGGAGAAATACTGTAGATCCTTTTATAAGCAGGCATTGAATATAACATAAGTAACGTAATGAAATTTAAAAATAAAACAGTAATATTAAAAGTGTGGTCAAGTATTAAAAGATAATAATAAAGGATAAGATAGGTCTGAAAATCTAGAGAGAAAATAGAAATCTATGATGCAATAAATACAGTACGTGGAAAGTAAAAACTCAATAGAGCACTTAGAGAACAAAAGTCAAAAACAGTTTAATTCCTTGAAAGACCTGAATGAGTAAACTAAAAGCAGAATTTTATTCCCAGAAAAGAAAGAAAAATTCATAAAAAATAAAATGACTGAAAAAAATGCTGAAAGATTTTCTAGAACAGAGATTTTTCTCTGTAAGAAATTTCTAGGAAAAAAAGAGGTCATCCTTGAAGAAATGTAGTAAAAAAATGGCAAGCAGTTATCAACAAAAATGGATAATAATACATTTCATACAATTTAATGAAATAAGATAGAATTTAAAATATCATATTAAAGCATACAAAATAAAACAAATCAAAACAAAACATAAGATCTTGAAATTTTTCTAAAGCTGGTAAAGATATTGATTAGTTTTAAACATAAGATATACTTTTTTCAAGTCATGAGAATATATAAAAATGATGAAAAAATATTACAGGTTAATACAACCAATTTTAAACAGGAGATGAAAGTGAAACTTAACGTGGAGCAAATATAAATAAAAACTTAAAATTATAGACATATATCTAAACATTTAAATCATTACAAGTTTAAATTAACATGTCAATTAAAAATATATCCTTTTAAAAACCAGAGCTCTGTGCTGCTTATGAAACATACATCAAACACAAGGCAAGAAACAGTTAATAAATTAGAAAAATTGATATACCTGGTAAATTCTATGCCTCTAGTAAACACTGCATATTTTCAGATTTAAAACAACAATTAATACTATAGGAAAAATTACGGTCACCTAGATAACAACAAACTGTCAGTAGACTAGGAGGATAACACAATTTTAATCTATACTTCTACAATATAGGCAGCAAAAATTGATGAAATTATAATAAATTAATTACATTAAAATGAAACATTTTAATACAACACTCCTAGATTATTGGTTCAGCAGAGGTCAAATTATGTAAGATGCTGTTCAAAAACTTTATGCGACAGGAAGTTATAGGATATAGTATTTAGCAATGCATATTGTTCTAAAAATTCAGAAACATTTAAAGACATACTATGCCATAAGGCAAGTCTAAATACATTTCAAATGTTCATGTATTATCAAGAACACATTATCTGATTCCAATATAAACAAGTCTAAAAATATACATATTTTTAAATCCTCTATATTAGAATTATATAAGACAGACTTCTTAATAATGCATGAAAAAAAATTTGACATTCTAAACTAAATAATAGTTGAAAATGTTAAGTATCAGTGCTTTTGGAAACCTGATAAAAGAAAAGTTAGTGATGAATTAAAAGGTTAAAATGTTGTATTTCATGAAGAAATAAGAAGCTGGCACTAGTATGTGAATCATTTGTTATAATTAGGAAAAGAAGAAACACATACACCAAAAGAAAAAAAAAAGCATAAATAAAAAGATAATAAATGAAGAGCAGAAGTTAATCAAAAAGTAATAGAATTAGTTCTTTGAGAAGACTATGAAGCTCACAAATCTTTGACCAGATTGATTGAGCAAAGAAATAACACATAATATTAAGACATAAAGACAGGGGAGGTTCAGATAGGCAGCAGAAATTTAGAAATACAACAGTATTAGGAACATCTTTCTGCAAACAAATTTTATTTTTTTCAGTGAAACAGAAAAGTCTCTACAAAAAAGTCAGTTACCCAAACCAACTCAAGAAGAACTAGGAAACTGCACTTGCTATATCATTTTGAAAAAATGCATCCACATTTAAATTATCCCTATAAAAATGTATTAGAATACACTGCTTTTATAGTTCGATTCTACCACACATTCAAGGGAAGAAATGTGTCTGAAAAGTGAAAAAGAGAAGAAAAACACAAAAGCCTAATAAATTTTCAAATTAATAAAGTCTTGTTACTACATTCAAACAAAAAGTATGAGAATTAAAAACAAAAAAAGATTAATATTACTTCCAAACAACAATGTGAAAACATGAGCAAAATATAAGTATATTATTTTGTCTTCACACAGCTGTGAAGAAATACCTGAGACTGGGTAATTTATAAAGAAAGGAGGCCTAATTGGCTCATATTTTCTCAGGCTGTGCAGTAGGCATGGCTAGAGGCCTCAGAAAACTTACAACTATGCAAGAAGGCCAAGGGAAATCAAATGTTTCTTCACATGGTGGCAGGAAAGAGAGTGTAAAGGGGAAAGTGCCACACATTTTCAAAAAAATTCAATCTCATGAGAACTGATTTACTATAAGGAGAACATAAAGAGAAAGTCTGCTCCCATGATCCAAACATCTCCAACCTGGCCCCCCAACCCAAAACATGAGGGTTAAAATCAGCATGAGATTGGAGTGAAAATAGAGCCAAACCATATCAATGAGCAAACACATGTAAGCTTACACATCATAAATGCATATCTACACTAAATTAATTTCAAAGAGAAAAGAGTGGCTCAACTTAAGAAAACCTATTAATTTAATGCATTATATTAATATACTAAAGTAGGAAAAAATAGAATTACATCAAGGAATACAGAATAAGCATCAAATAAAACATAATAGCTATTTATAATGAGACATTAAAGTACAAAAGAAGGAAATGTTCCTTATCTGAGAATACTTCATTCAAAATCAGGAGAAAGACAAGAAGGGTCACTATTACCATTTCTCTTCAACATTGTCCTTGAAATTTTTAACTTATACAATAAACAATACTAATAATAATACTGTAATACATAAGAATTGGAAAGAAAGAAGTAAAATATTCCTCATCCATAGATGACTTGATTGTATACATGGACAACTTCAAAGAATATACAAACCATATATATTAATAAGAAAACTTAAAAAATTTTCTAGATGTGGTATCAAGATGTCAAAGTTGAAATTACCTACCTACCTGTAACAGAAAACCACAGGAAGGCCAATTACTTGAGTGATAATGCAGGCTTTACTTCCATTATGAGCTGTGTGATATTGAAGTATACATAATCCTCTCTCAGTATTAGTGGGGGATTGGTTAAGGACTTCCATGGACACCAAAATCAGCATATTCTCAATTTCTTGGCATTAACTGGTGTAGTATTTGCATATAACTAGCTGTCCAGCTCCTGAAGAAGTTTAGTAGCAATTCAGTGCACTAGGCACTAAAAAGAAAGCCTTTCTATTGTCAAAGGAAATTCTCTGGGAGAGAAAACAGCTAAGGCCTCATCTAAAGAGGCACCATTGTTACAGGCCACTGGCAAATGCCAGGTACTGCACCCATGTCCGGGACACTACACTCTACCCATGAAGAAATTTAATGGGCAGAACAAAAAGCATTACAAAAGAGTCTCTCAGGATGGTTACTAGAAAGCAACAAAACTCTTTCTCCCTGAGGCAATGCAATGAAAGGTAGTTAAGCCTTTATATGACTCCTCACATTTGGGACAGGACTCAATATACAACTTATTTTCTCATATCATTTAAGGAAAGAAACTATTCTAGACTATAAAGAGGATGACCAGGGCCTGTGATCTTTGTGCTGTAATAATCCAGGAAGCTACTCCATACCCCTACCTCTACTCAAACCTTTACAACATTGAGAGACATACCCTGGGAAGACTGGCAAATAGAATTTTTATTGTTATTTTTGACATGGCGTCTTGCTTTGTCACTAGGCTGGAGTGCAGTGGTATGATCTCGGCTCATCGAAACCTCTGCCTCCTGGGTTTAAATGATACTCCTGCCTCAGCCTCCCAAGTAGCTGATATTACAAGTGCTCGCCAACACCCCCAGTTAATTTTTGTATTTTTAGGAGAGATGGGGTTTTACTATGCTGGCCAGGATGGTCTCGATTTCCTGACCTCGTGATCCACCCACCTTGGCCTCCCAAAGTAATGAGATTACAGACATGAGCCACCATGCCTGACAAGCAAATAGGTTTTTATCAGACACAACCATACAGGGATGGAAATATTTGCTATTATTCATAGATACCTTCAACCAAGTGAATTAAGGATTTTCCCCCAAGCACAGAGAAGGCATTATGAGTGTCCAAATTTTTACTTAATGAGATCAGCTGCAAAGTTTTTATTACCTGAAAGTCTGAAGAGTGATAATGGACCACTTTCACAGCTAAAGCAACCCAGCAGCTTTCATTCAGCCTTAGGCATAACCCATCACATTCACTCCCCCTGGAGTACTCAATCCTCCTGTAAAATAGAAAAAGCTAATCATGTTTTGAAAAGACATTAGCTAAGCCATGTCAGGAGACCTCAGAGATTCAGGTTCCTCTCTTAACCATAGTCTTTATACACATAGGAATGATCCTTAAAAAACCTCCCAAACAATCCATTTGAGAGGAGTTATTTGAGGCCATGTTTCGCTTGAGATCTCCTGCTTAATAAAGAGATATATAGTTGACTCAAAAGTTGACACATATTGTCAACTTTGGCCAGGTTAGAAAAGTCCTCCAAGCCTATAGACAAAAAGTATTGCCCCTTCTCACACGGCAATTAACTGACCTCCTATTTAATCATTAAACTTAGTAAACATTTTGAAGGAAGGATCCCCTGAGAATCAATTACAACCAAAATAGAAGGGCCCCTATCAGGTGTTCTGACCATCGCAGTCCTTTTAAACTTTAGGGCATACCTAGTTGGATACAATTATCCAGGATTAAACCTATTTCTTATAAGCTGCAGGGACAAATGGAGGACATTGTCATCTAAATTTAAATTTTTGGAAGATCGCCACTACCTATTTAAAAGAATTAACAGTCACTCATCTAGAAGTGGCAACATGATGCTGCCAGTGGGAATACAGGGTATTCCTACTAGGAAAGACTAAGAAAAACACAATTGAGCTCCTGAATTTTCTAGAAAAGGAAGGGTATCATTGTCATTTTCCCAATTTTCTGGAAAGAAGGGTATTTCTCTGTTTTTCCACCTTTTAAAAATCTGTGATAGGACCCTTGACAGCTGTCTTGTTGTTACTAATTTATTTACTTGTTTGTTGAACCTCATAGTAAGCTTTGTATCTTGTAGATTATAATATTTCCAGGTGCAAACAATGCTGGCATAAGGCTTTTGAGTTATATACTGATCTGGATAATTGTGGTGTTCTGCCTTTCACCCCTTTAGCTCATGTATCCAGAGACATTTGCTTCTCTAGGGCTAGGCAAGGCCAGTGCTCATGATTCAGCAGAAAGCAGGTACACTGCATGGACCTCCTCCCTCTTGCATCCCCCTTAAGATTAAGGGAAAGTATTTAACATCTGAGTGGAGAATGAGGTTGAAGGTGGGACTCACCTCCAGGGGTAGGGCTCACACATGACCCAGATTGAGGACTACCCAAATCAGGGCCAAGACAGAAGCAGTTTTTCAATCAGACATGCCCACCAGCGTGTCGTGTAAATTTACCTTTGCTATCATAACACCCAGGAGTTACCACCCTTCTATGGCAATGATCCAATGATTACCACCCCTTCCCTATTAATTTCGGCATTTATCAATCCATGCAATTAAAAGCGAATATAAATATGGCTGCAAAATATCCCTGAGCTGCTACTCTCTTGCTTATGGCATAGCCCTGTTCTGAAAGAGGAGTCAAAGAGCTGTAACAAGGCCAGAGATGTGATTCTGTCTTACCAGCTACGCTATTTTTTTTAAATCTCTGGTTTGGCATTGAATTCTTTCCTGGACAAAGCCAAGAAACTCATGATCTTAGCTCTGCTTTGGCCTTGACTCTCCTGCATTGTGTCTACTGTTCCATTCCAAGATTTAGTAAACTATGAATTAAGCAGATGGAGTAAATGCAATTACTTTAAATGCAAAAGTTAAAAGTCATCAAAAGAATTCAATAATCAACAAAGAGAATATTTTAATGCAATGTTTTCAAAATCCAAAATAATGCAATAATAATCATAATAAAATATTAAAATAGTTTTAAAGCTAGCATATTACTGATTCTTTATTTATTTTGATTCCTGCTTCAATATTCCTTAGCATAGCCTTAATATTGATAGTGAGCTTATTTTTCTATAAAATATTTTGTTCAACATTATTTTTTATTTGTAATTATTTATGAATATTGCACTGAAATACAAATCTTAATTACTGAGCTTTTTAAATCAATAAATCTTAGTAGAGTAGTTTTAGGCTTACAACAAAATTGAGTAGAAAGTACAGAAAGCTGCCTTACACCCTGTGTCCACATGTACAAACTTCCCCACTATCAACATTTCTGATGAGACTGGTATGTTTGTTCCAATTCATAAACCTATATCAATATATTATTACTCAATATCTGCAATTTACATTAGGGCCCACTTTTACTGTTGCACATTCTATGGGTTTTGGCAAACATGTAATAAAATGTATCCAAAATTGTAATAATATATAGAATATTTTCACTGTTGTATACTCTAATAATCACCTGACTTGTGCCTATTTTTTCCACTCTCACCTGTAAACCATTGGGACCCCTAATCTTTTTACTGCTTCAATAACTTTCTAGATTGTCATATATTTTAAATAATATGTGTAGCATTTTATGATTGGCTTATTTCACTTACAAATATACACTTAAGTTCCTTCTATGTCTTTTCAAGACTTGAAAGCTATTTTTTTCTGTGCTGTACAGTATTCCAGAAATATTCCATAAACCACAGTTTATCCTCTTAATTACTATAGAACAACATCCATATGCAGATTTTGATGTAAACATATTTTTAATTTAGTTAGATAAATTCCAAGAATCAAGCCTGCTGTATGAGATCAAAAGAATAGGTTTAGTTTTGTTAAAACAAAACAAGACAAAGCTTACCAAACATTCTTCTAAATGTGCTGTTATCAGTGCTTTCAATTTTTGCAATTTTATGTTTATTTATTTAATTTATTTATTATTACCACATTCACAACTTCTGAATAGTATATGATGTTTATCATCCTTTCATATGCTGATTCCCTGAGTCTTAACTACTGGGGAAGCAAAGGAAGAGGATACCTGAGACAAAATTGGAGGTTGCAGTGAGCTATGATGCACTACAGCCTGGGGGCAGAGACCCTGTCTTAAAAATAAAATAAAATAAACAGAAGAAAAGAAAGAAGGAAGGGAGGAAGGAAAAGAAAGGGAAGAGAAAAGAAGGGAAAAAGAAGAAGAAAGAAAGAGAAAGGAAGAAGGAAGAATTTGTCAGCAAAATAGTGAATCCTAAGCCTGTTTTTCACGTTTATTCCCTAGAATTCAATACATATAAATTTGTTTTTTTGTGTGTTTACTTGTTTTGTTTTGTTTTGTTTTTGCTTGGAACAGGGTCATGCTGTATCACCCAGTCCAGAGTGCAGTGATGAGATCTTGGCTTAGTGCAAACTCCACCTCCTGGGTTTAAGGGATTCTCCCAGCTCACCATCTGTAGCTGGGACCATAGACCCACACCACTACTCCCAGCTAATTTTTTGTATTTTTGATAGAGACAGGGTTTCACCATTTTTCCCAGGCTGGCCTTGAACTCCTGACCTCAAGGTTACAGGCATGAGCCACCAAGCTGGGCCTACATATAGGGTTTTTCTTTCTTTCCAAACAATTCTTGATAAATTATGATTTTTTTTTGAACTTATCTGTCATCTTGTTTTCCACATCAGTATGATAATAGTGCAAAGATTTCTTATAATTCTATGTTTCTTTCTCTTGTTAAATTATTTTCTTGTTATTTATTCTTCCAGGGTGTGTATGTATGTATGTGACTATGTGTGTGTACTCATGCATGTGTGTTTCTTCATTTCTTTGTCTTCCTTGTTTAGGCATGTGTAAGTGTAAGTATACAATAATATAATTAAACTATTGGATGCAAAGCATCCAAAGAAACACAATTTTTTAAAAGTATATTTTGTATAGTTTTGACCAGTCACTAAAGAAAGCAGGATTGCAAGTAAACCTCTAGGTTTCACTGAATATAAATGTAATCACAACAATTCTATAGATTTGCTGCATCTAAACTATGTTGCATGTACTGTGCTCAGTACATTATTAATCTTATGACCATAATATCTAACAGATACCATTATTATATTCACTTAGTAGATTGGGTAAATTTCAAAGATGAAGCAGTCTAACTTCACACAGCTATTTAGTGGTGAAGTTTAGATTTTTCTTGGTTTGCCTAACTTTATATTGCACAAATCACCACATGCATTATTGTACCTTGTGGACATGAAGCTTTTGGCCAAATGATTTTTAACTGCTTCTCTAAAAAAAAAAAAAAAAAAAAAGAGCCTATTTGCATGGCAAGCTAAATGTTTCATGATCTTACCCTCCTTCCCTGTATCCACTACAGACATTCCCTGATCTTTGTGTATTTAGTCCTATTTCATTGACCGCAAGAAAATGCAAGTTATTCCATCAAGTTGATGTTTACTTGTTAACATTGCATGTTTCTGCACATTCTCCCAGAAAATATCATTCTATGTTTATGTTTTTGCTTTTCTTTCCACCACACAGATTTTAATAACTCCATTCATCTGCATATGTTTTATCTCTGCCTAGAAAATATTTCTTCATAGTATATGTAATACATTAAAAATCATCAACCACTGCTCAATGAAATAAAAGAGGATAGAAAGAAATGGAAGAACATTCCATGCTCATGGGTAGGAAGAATCAATATTGTGAAAATAGCCATACTGCCCAAGGTAATTTATAGATTCAGTGCCATCCCCATCAAGCTACCAATGACTTTCTTCACAGAATTGGAAAAAATTACTTTAAAGTTCATATGGAACCAAAGAAGAACCCACATTGCCAAGTCAATCCTAAGTCAAAAGAACAAAGCTGGGGTCATCACGCTACCTGACTTCAAACTATACTACAAGGCTACAGTAACCAAAACAGCATGGTACTGGTACCAAAACAGAGATATAGACCAATGGAACAGAACAGAGCCCTCAGAAATAATGCTGCATATCTACAACTATCTGATCTTTGACAAATCTGAGAAAAACAAGCAATGGGGAAAGGATTCCCTATTTAATAAATGGTGTTGGGAAAACTGGCTAGCCATATGGAGAAAGCTGAAACTGGATCCCTTCCTTACACCTTATACAAAAATTAATTCAAGATATATTAAAGACTTACCTGTTAGACCTAAAACCATAAAAACCCTAGAAGAAAACCTAGGCATTACCATTCAGGACGTAGGCATGGGCAAGGACTTCATGTCTAAAACACCAAAAGCTATGACAACAAAAGCCAAAATTGACAAATGGGATCTAATTAAACTAAAGAGCTTCTGCACAGCAAAAGAAACTACCATCAGAGTGAAGAGCAACCTACAAAATGGGAGAAAATTTTTGCAACCTACTCATCTGACAAAGGGCTAATATCCAGAATCTACAATGAACTCAAACCAATTTACAAGAAAAAAACAAAAACCCCATCAAACAGTGGGTGAAGGACACGAACAGACACTTCTCAAAAGAAGAAATTTATGCAGACAAAAAACACATGAAAAAATGCTCACCATCGCTGGCCATCAGAGAAATGCAAATCAAAACAACAATGAGATACCATCTCACCAGTTAGAATGGCAATAATTAAAAAGTCAGGAAACAACAGGTGCTGGAGAGGATGTGGAAAAATAGGAACACTTTTACACTGTTGGTGGGACTGTAAACTAGTTCAACCATTGTGGAAGACAGTGTGGCAATTCCTCAGGGATCTAGAACTAGAAATACCATTTGACCCAGCCATCCCATTACTGGGCATATACCCAAAGGACTATAAATCATGCTGCTATAAAGACACATACACACATATGTTTATTGTGGCGCTATTCACAATAGCAAAGACTTGAAGCCAATCCAAATGTCCAACAATGATAGACTGGATTAAGAATATGTGGCACATATACACCATGGAATACTATGCAGCCATAAAAAATGATGAGTTTATGTCCTTTGTAGGGACATGGATGAAATTGGAAATCATCATTCGCAGTAAACTATCACAAGAACAAAAAACCAAACACCACATATTCTCACTCATAGGTGGGAACTGAACAATGAGAACACATGGACACAGGAAGGGGAACGTAACACTCTGGGGACCTTTGTGGGGTGGGGGTAGGGGGGACAGATAGCATTAGGAGATATACCTAATGCTAAATGACGAGTTAATGAGTGCATCACACCAGCATGTCACATGTATACATATGTAACTAACCTGCACATTGTGCACATGTACCCTAAAACTTAAAGAATAATAATAATAAAATAAAAAAAAGAAAAAAATGAAAAAAAATACCAAAACAAAAAAATAAATAAAAAAATAAAAATCATCTTCAATCTTGTTTTTTTCCATGTGTTTGTAAGAAGTAGTTTTCTTTAAGAACAAAATATTCATGGAGGGAAGATTTGTTGGTTTAAATCCTAATTTTTTGTAATATTCTTCTAAAACTGAGTACCTTTTAAAGGCTTGTAAGTTAAGTTTCCTGATTTCCAAATTAGGCCTAATATAAATTATACAAATGTTACGGGACTTCTAAAAATGAACATTGTATAAAATATATGTATATGTTTAATCAAAGAGGTTGATCCTTATCATTATTTAGGAAATGACATTATGTGTATCCTCTTTTAAAAAAACATTGAAGTATTTTCTCATACATCTTATGGCATAAACCATAATGTATTATTTACATATCTATTTTTCCTGTGGTGTAGTCTCACTAGCTAACTTACTAATACTTTATTTGTATTAGTTATCAATTAAGTATAATATACTACTCAATTACATATAACATTAACAAACATATTCCCTCAAGTAAATATAAATCGATACAAAGGTAATTATTATCTGTTCAAAATAGAAAAAAGGTAATCCATAATATAGACAAAGCCATGGTCAAATTAATATTTTTCTGCTAAAAATGTGACAAAAAGAATGTGAAAATAAAATGCTACAGGGTGTTTTGGTAACAAAGAAACTAATAATGTCAATAGATTTGTAACCATAATTTAAGAAACATTTTTCTGAAATATATGTAAACATATAAATATATCTTTACCTTCAGAGCATACATTTACTGTTAGGTTATTCATTAGAAAAGAAAACATTGAAAAGATAAATTAAAATATTTATGCAGATACAATCAGCTCTATATTGGTACAGTATAGTTTATGAACTAAGAAGTTCGCAAGTGTGAGTATAGAATGTATAGACTTTAATTTTTTAAAGTTAATACAAAACTTTATAAATATAAAATATAATTAAAATGTGGCTTATAAATAGGCATTTTTAAAGAACTGGTCTTTTAAATTCTGCTATGCACTGTTTATAGACAAACTCAGAAAAATATGTTTGTTTTTCATTGTGTAGATATTTAAATTGTTTTTCTTATGTTACATTTTATTTTGCAACAAAATACATAGAATGGAATAATTTTACCATGGACAATATAGTCTGTCAGCTAATAAATTGTTTTTCAGGAATATACATAGTATTTATTTTACTAGAGCTCTGTTAATTAAGGATATTATTTTTTATACACAAATTGAGGACAGAGAAATTCTCTATGTGTATATTGCTTTTGTTAATTTTGGAAGTTTGGGTCAAATCAGTACATTTATCTAGTAAGCAAATAAGGTGTCCAAATATTTATATTACATCCAAAAAGAGAAGACACAAGATTAAAATGCAGAAACATTCATTCCTCATTGACTTACTTTTCTTGCTTTCTTTTAATGTTATTTTACCTATTATTACTTGCTTCTTATAAATTTCTTTAAAATGTAGTTACTATTTTTCCCTTTTATGAAATAAGCAAACGCTATGTACAGTGAGCTTATTGCTAATGTTTGAGAGGGGATTGAAATATGGATGACTATTTCATAATAAAAATACTCTTTAAGGTTGATCACACTACCACAATTGAATTAAAAAATGAAAATAGGATAGAACATATTTTGGCATTTTAATTTTCTTTCCTTTTTTTTTAAATTTAAAAGTTTATTGGGCCACCCTTCCTTCGATTTATGTTATGTTCCTCTTTCCCTGTTTCCTCTGTGGCTCTCATGGGGTAAAAAAGTTTCTAAGCTTTTTAGCTGGGTACACCACTAACCTCGACTATTCCTTCAGCTCATGGTGACAAAGGGTCACGCACAGGCAGTTTCTCAGAAAATCAGGGAAATGGGGAAAATACTTCTTAATTTAAAGCACAGAGGGCATGTTTGTATTTCAGGAGAAATAGTTAATATCTAAATCATCTCCTGCAAATAGAGGAAATGTGGTAATTCAGACCATTTCTCTCAGGCTTTTTTTTTTTTTTGGCAAATGTTAAGAAATGTTATCATTGTTATTATGCGTGGATTTATGTATACGGGTGTAACTGTCTGTCTGAAAGTGTTGGATATCAGTTTGTCCTACCGAAAAACACCTTTATTTTCTGTTTCTTTGCACAGATTTGTTTCTTCGCAGGAATTCAAAGACCCCAAAGTTTTTGGATTTTGCCTATAAAAGGGAATGAGTTTTCAACGTGTGGGTGTTGAGTTATGGGAGGAAATAGTAGGGAGAAAACTCCTTAATGCTATTAAGAAACTCACTTTTTTTAAACTCATTGATTTTTCTTGAGGAAACTTCCCTTTACCGTGGTACATGTCCGACATGCAGGCAAGTTGTAGGAGATGGAGATAGGGTGCCATTTTTTTCATATGCACTTTTTGTTAAAGCAGTTTTTCTCTGTGAATGTGGAATGTGGTCATAATGCAAATATATAGCCAATATACTTAACCACTGTGATTAACAACTTGTACTTTTACTCATCACATGTGAAATTTGTGATTTGCTTTAAGGGAATTATGAAATTATGACATAAATTGCATTATTTTAGTGTATGAGGAAGTCTGGAGCCATAAATAATCTCAGTTTAAATTTGTCTCCTTAAAGCTTTCAATTGTCTCCTTCCTTGTATGACAATATTTGAAACATGTATCATGTATCTCTGGCAAAGTAAATAATTTAAATCTAGTAAGTAGGTGTAATCAAGAAAAATGGTGACAGATAGCTTAAAACAGAGACAAAATAAATGTGTTTAAGTTATTCTATTAACTGGGCACACTGACTTACTCTTGTAATCTTATCATTTCGGCAAGAGGAGGTGTGAGGATGGCTTGAAGTCACGAGTTGGAGACCAGACTGAGTAATATAATGAGCTTCTTTAATCTATTGCCATTTTGGCACCAAGGACCGGTTTAGTGGAAGGCATTTTTCCACATAGAAGAGGTGGGTAGTGGGAGAAGGTGACCAGGTGGACACCTTGGGGAGGTGGGGGGTGGCCGTTCCAGGAGGAACACAGGGTAGGGAGGGGCTTCAGGTCAGAGCACTGTGACAGGGGCTGTGGTGGGGCAGCAGGGCTGCGAGGGGCACAAGGCAGCCCAGTGGGGAACAAGGAGAATGGATTCTGGATGAAACACCTCAGGTCACACTCAGGAATTAAATTCTTCCAAGGAAAGCACCACCTAGATCTTCGCATGCGCAGTTCACAGTAGGGCTCTTACTCCTGTGGGAATCCAATGCCTTCGCTGATCTGACAGGAGGCAAAGCTCAGGTGGTGCAAGTGGTTCATCACTTGTTCTGCAGCCGGATTCCTAACAGGCCACAGACAGATACTGGTTGGAGACCAGGGTTTGGGGAACCCTGATCTATTGTATACTTCAAATCACTAAAATATTATAAAAAATTTAAACTGTTCTCCCCCAGGAAAGCACATTTTAGTTAGCTTGATTTAATCATTTATTAAAATATCAAGCTGGGTGTGGTTGTTCAGCCTTGAAATCTCATCACTTTTGTAGCACCAGACCAGAAGATCGCTTGAGCCCAGGAGTTCGAGACCAGCTTGGGTACCATGGTGAAACCTGTGGCTATTAAAGGAACACACAAAAAATTGCCTGCTTGCTCTGGTAATAAGCACCTGTAGCTGCCCAAGTAGCTGAGACATGGGAGGATCACTAGAGGCTCGGTAGAGGAGGTTGCAGTGAGCAGTGCACTTTAGCAACAGGAAATTTACATCTCAAGAAAATGTTGGGGAAACCAGCCCCATGCACCACCTGGTAGTTACCTTGAGTCCAGCAGAGACAAAGGAGTTAGAAAGACAACAGAATAAGCATTAAAATGCAGGTCCAGGGAACCAGAGCTTCAGATGCTTGCTCATGGCCCAGAGCTCTTCAACGCTGCCTAATTTATTGGTTTACAAGCTCTTTGTTCTTAGGGCAGATGGGAGGAGTAGGAAGGGATGAGGAAAGGATTAATCAGTGAAGAAGTCATGAGTCATTCAATAAAATGTATAGCAGTGAAGGTTTCTGTGAATTTCCTAGAGCAAAGGTGTGTGTCTAAACTACTTAAGATCTTTAACTTATTGGGACTGAAATGGGTGGGAGTGTGTTTCAGGAGGAGCCAAGATGTTTGATTATACTCCAATGCTTCAAGGGAGTGTTATCTCCCTGAGAAACATGTGGAATGCCTCTAAATGGTTATGTTCTCAGGGCATAAAGACATGAAGGCAATAAGGAGACTTTTCTCCTCAGAGGCTGCCCATGGCTCCCCATGGGTGTCTCACACAGGGGAGACCAGCTCATCTGGCACTCCAGAAACTTTTCCCCACATGTCCCCCCCTTTTCTCTCTCTCTCTCTTTTTTAATTAATAGTTTTTTAATTAATAACTGCCATTGCTATCATGGCTCATTGACACTGTCTGGCTTCTCTCTGAAGGCGCCATCCACATTTGTAGACTAAAAACAAACAGCATAGGCAGACACAAACTGAAATAAAATTTGCAACTGTTGATCCACCTTTTTTTTAATCCACTTTAAAGGATTGGTATTATAAAGGCCGTCAGTGGCCCCAGCAAGAATATCAGCTCCAGGCAACAGGGTGAGATGAACCTGAGATGCCTCAAAAAGTTTTTTCAGTTTAGCAATATCTAGTGTTAAATTATCTTCTTTTCACTGTCAGTGATATCTAATCATCTCCCAATGGTGTTCAGTGGCATTGTGAGAGCTAGGTGTAATAGAAAAATCAGAAGTATTCCAATCACATTGCATTTGAATTCTATGCTCCAAGCTCATAATCTGATCTCTCATCCAAATTACTGTTTGACCGGGATCATTAATTTGATTTGCCAATTTTTGATCTATTTTGCTTTGGGAATTCCAAAGCTTAGAAGAATTTTTCTCCCAACTATCCACAAAGCCCGCAGTTTGAATAGAAGAATGCAAAGCAACACCAGCAACAGCAGTAGCTGTGACAGCTATGAGGCCCATGATCACAGCTATTAAAGTAAATATGAATCTCTTTGATCTATTCAGTATTTCTTTTAGTACTTCAGTGATAATAAGTATGGAGGGGGAGGCTTCCTAAGTTCTCCTTCTTGGGCCCTAACTAGTAAAATGCTATTATCTTTATTATAGGTAGAATTAATGCAGGTAAAAAGATGGCACTTGAGGCATGATATGGCTTGAGAGTCAGGTCAGATATTAATTTTTCCCACTGCCAACATAAAAGGAGGTTTAACACAACTCTGCACTGGGACCATCTGATTAGAGGTCATGGCTACAACAAATCAAAATTTTTTATTATGGGTCTCTGTTTTATATTCTCCTTTCCAAATCTGAATTGGAGTTTGAGCCAACATTAATTTCCACAATTCTGGATGTTCTGGACTTACAATTGGATCAATCATTTTTGGGCTTGGAGGAACCATACCATTCTCCTCCCACTTAATAAGGTAATTTGCTTCAATTCTTATATATAATTTTGGTGCATTATCTGAGTAGTCATTTGCAAAAGGAATCTCTCTACAATCTTCACAATGTCCAGTACAATTTACTGCAAATTGTCCCCTAGAGGCCCAATCAATGACAATTTCATAGGAGTTATTTTGCAGTAAAGCAGCGGTGTTTGCAATGCAATCTTCCCAGGTTAGCACCTCTAGCTTTTCAGACCATTTAGTGGCCTGCCTAGGGCAGGACTTCTAATTAGGCTTAAATTTATTAATCTGGTGATGTGTCATAACATAACCGTGCTCAAGGCATTTAATGGTGTCCAAAGATTGAAATGTTCTTCCCCTGATTGCATGAATTGAGGCTTTTGATCCATTATGTGCAGGGACATAAACCATCCAACTTTTTTTATCATAATTTGAACATCCTGCTTCCGGCCCAAGACAGATGGGAGGAAAGTGAAAACCAATAGAAACATTCATTAACATTCTTTCCTCCTCTGGGTGAGTAGGACCCTAGTTATCTGCTGGTCAAGGCATCCAGACACTATCAGTAACATAAAACTCCACTGGGCTGTCTGACCATGTAACAGGCCTAATCAGTGGTGGGAATGGAATGTAGGCTCAATAAGTGTAATTTTGATCTGCCTCAGCTGTGGGGAGACTTACCACCAAGGAGATTACCACCATCATAGCTACCATTAGATTACTGGTGGTCAGAGGCTTGTTCTGAGACCTCAGGTTCTCTACTGCAATGTGAGATAGTCTCTTCATCTGCCCCCAAGTTGGTGGAGTTGTTAGGTGAGTTTTACTGGTTTCCATCTGCTCAACAGAGATGTTCATCTGAGCCATCTAACAAATTGGGGATGCAGGGATGTTCCAAGGTCTTTTCCTCTTCCTTGGATTCTGGCTTATGGCACAGCTTAAGATGTCTTGTGGGTACCTAGACAGGAAGTTGATTCTCTCCTGGTGAGATACAAACAAACCCTTGACCCCAACAAGACCCATGGGGGCCTTTTGTTTGGGCCAGTTTTCTGGCCATTGATAAAGAGCTATGATTGACACATCTGCTCCTGTGTCGATCAGACCCTCAAATTGTTTTTCTGGAATAGTGACCATAGAAATAGCTCTAATTGTTGCTTGACATTCTGTATTAGTATTTTCATAAGCAAGCAGGTGAACAATCACTTTCCTGGCATGAGAATCCAAAATAGCCTTTTGCGCCATGTCTTGCAAATGGGCGACAAAATCTGGATAAGCCCCCTTGGACCCTGTTGAACTGAGTTAAAGGAAGGCTAAGTAGTACCAGGGTCATGAATTTTTTCCCAGGCTCTTAGGCTAATAGTTCTGAGCTGATCAACATCCTCGTCACCCTTTGCCATCTGTTGATTTAGAGTACCCCATGCCTGTCCAATTACAAGCAATTGATGAAATGTGATATTAATGGGAGGTTGGGCTTGAGCCATTCTGCATGCCTGATTTGTTGCTTCATCCATCCACCAGATTTTAGAGAAATTCTGAGCGGGACATCTTGGATTGGGCTAATGACTCCCAATCCATAGGTATTAAATGCCAGTTATAAGCCACAGATTGTAACAAGGAATGAACAGAAGGAGAATTTGGCCCATATTGTCCAATTGCTTGCTTTAAGTTTTTTAATATTTTAAAAGGAAATGGCTCCCAGCATGCTTGAGCATGTTCTTTAGGATCCTCAGCTGGCAAAATAATTACCAGTAACTGCCAAGCATCCAAATTGCCCATTTCTCGTTCTTGGAGAATGGATGCCTGGATTGTCCCTGCACCATAATTTGTATTAGGGCTGGCTTGCATAATTCCTCTACCATAATTAAGAGGCAGACAAGCCTGGATCGTTCCCCCACTGTAACTGGCTGTTGGGTGAGCCTGAAGCTTCCCTTTGCCATAGTTAATGGTGGAGTATGCAACAATGGGAGCAGCAAGCCGAGTCTCAGGCTCCCATTCCAAAAATTCAAAAGGCTGAGCTGGGGGTGGCCATTCCAGATGTTCTGCTAAAGGCACAGTAGGTGGTACTGTTTCTGCGGTAGGTGGAACTGTTTCTTTCTTAAGTTTTTGAAAGTTAGCATATATAGCATCCCATTTCTCCCCCTTTTTTAAATTAGACTGTGATGGTTACTTTGCTGATCATCAGACTCCTGATTATTAAGCTTTTCTGTCATCCTGAAACCCCTCCTTCTTTTCAGTGTCAAAGGGCTCCAGTGCTGTTTTAATTGACCACCACACAGATCAAGCAGAGAGATTATCATGGCCCTCTTGTTTTGCTCGTTTTAAGTCTGATCTGACCTTGTCGCAATCTTTTACATTCATGGTTCCATATTCAGGGAACCAATGAGAATACTTTTCTATGAGATGGAACAAAGATGTGAGATTTTAGGTACTCACAATTATCCCTCCATGGCACAATAACTGCTACAGCAGGCTTAAGTAATTAGCAAACTTACTCTCAGCCTGACCCATAGTTTCCCCAGGTTACCCTGGGTACCGTATGGGTACCCTACTTACCCGTAGAGCTTGAAGTGAAAACGTACTCAGGCTTCCTTCCTCAGTCCTCCTCCACTTTCCACGCTCTGGCGTTCCTTCACCAGATTATTTGTAGAGATTACGGGGAGCCCTGCATTCGGCACCAGATGTTGGGGAAACCAGCCCTACACCACCCGGCAGGAACCCGGAGTCCAGAGGAGACAAAGGAGTTAGAAAGAGACAGAATACGTGTTTAAAAGGTGGGTGCAGGGGACAGGAAAGTAGGAGGCTTGCTCACCGCCCAGAGCTCTTTGGCTCCACCTAATTAACTGTTTCACAAGCTCTTTGTTCTTAAGGCAGAGGGAGGAGTAGGAAGGGATGAGGAAAAGGATTAATCAGTGAAGAATAACTTGTGAGTCATTCAACAAGATATATAGCGGTGGTGGTTTCTGTGATTTTCCTAGGGCAAAGGCATGTGTCTAAACTACTTAAGATCTTTAACTTATCAGGACTGAAATGGGTGGGAGTGGGTTTCAGGAGGAGCCAAGATGTTTGACTATACTCCACTGCTTCAAGGGAGTGTTATCTCCCTGAGAAACCTGTGGAATGCTGCTGAACGGTTATGCTCTCAGGGCATAAAGACAAAAAGGTAATAAGGAAAATTTTATCCTTAAAAGCTGCCCTTGCTCCTCATGGGTGTCTCACACAGGGGAGACCAATTCATTTGCCAGTCCAGAAACTCTCTTTCCCACAGAAAAAAATACACACAACATCACATTGTACAATATAAATATATAGATTTCAAATAAAATCATTTAAATGGGGCATCCTGTGTATTACAGCTTAAGAAAATTACAATAGCTTTTCCCATCTCACTTTTACAAAAAAGTTTCTGTCAGGTACATATTAAAATGCAGCATTGGACCATGAAGTCACTGCCCCTTTCGCTCTGCATGTTACACATTTTACATATTTAAAGTAAGAAACACTACAAAGATGTCAGGCTCTGTAAGGGAATTTCACTAGAATTTTCAACACAGCATGCAATAAAATTTTATCTTTTTGGCTTACTGTTATCTAAATACATATATTTTTTATTACCATTTACAGCAAAATGGTCGCAGCAGATTGGCCTGGCAAGCTTTTCATTGGTGGCCTCTTTCTAGAAACCAGTGAAAAGATTCTTAAACCAGTATTTGGGAAATACGGTCCCATATTGGAAGGCAACTGTTATATATGTATGTTATACATACATGTGTTTATATATATTTTGCATATATATTTATAAATAAATATGTTGGACTCAGGGTACCTGCCAGGTGGTGTGGGGCTGGTTTCCCTAACATATATATAGAGGTTATATATAGATTTTCCAAAGTAAATATATACTCCATACATTTACTGAGTACATAAGTCAAAATATTTGTTTTTAAACAAATATTTTTATTTGTTATTTTCAAGTTTCTATTTGATATTGGGAAAATTCTCATGGCAGCAGGTGAAGGATCTGTGGTAAAATTCACCTACTACTGAGAAAGGAAAATGAGCAAAAGTAATTGTGTTGCTGAGGTAGGGAACAAATTGGAATAAAATAGTCTGAATATAGAGGTACGTGACTTAGTATTAATAATCACAGTAATGATATGAAACACAAGCTTTTCGGTTTGTTCATACTGTGTCTGGAATTGGTGGCTTCAAGAATGAAGCCGCGGACCCTCGTCGTGAGTGTTACAGTTCTTAAAGGCAGCATGCCCAGAGTTTGTTCCTTCCAACGTTCAGATGTGTTCGGAGTGTCTTCCTTCTGGTGGTTTCGTGGTCTTCCTGGCTCAGGACTGAAGCTGCAGACCTTCGTGGTGTCACAGCTCCTAAGGTGGCATGTCTGGAGTTGTTCATTCCTCCCAGTGGGTTTGTGGTCTCCCTGGCTTCAGGAGTGCAGCTGCAGACCTTCTCAGTGAATGTTGCACCTCATAAAGGCAGTGTGGACCCAAACCGTGAGCAACAGCAAAATTTATTGCAAACAGCAAAAGAACAACGCTCCCACAGTATACAAAGGGACCCAAGCCTGTTGCTACTGCTGACTTCGGGCAGCCTGCTTTTACTCCCTTATCTGGCCCCACCCACATCCTGCTGATTGGTCCATTTTACAGACAGCTGATTGGTCTGTTTTACAGAGCGCTGATTGGCCAATTTTGACAGTGTGCTGATTGGTGCGTTTACAATCCCTGCACTAGACACAAAAGTTCTCCAAGTCCCCACTAGATTAGCTAGATACAGAGTGCTGATTGGTGTATTTACAAACCCTGAGCTAGACACAGAATGCTGATTGGTATACTTACAAACCTTGAGCTGGATACAGAGTGCAGATTGGTGTATTCACAATCCCTTAGGGAGACATAAATGTTCTCCAAGTCCCCACTAAACTTAGGAGCCCAGCTGGCTTCACCCAGTGGATCCCGCACCTGCCCGCAGGTGGAGCTGCCTGCCAGTCCAGCGTCTTGCGCCTGCACTCAGTCCTTGAGCGGTTGATAGGACCTGGCACCCTGGAGCAGTGGGCGGCGCTCCTCCAGGAGGCTCAGGCCGTGGGGGAGCTCCCGGCGGGGTCGGGGAGGCTCAGGCATGGCGGGCTGCAGGTCCCAAACCCTGCCGCATGGGGAAGCAGCTAAGGCCCAGTGAGAAATCGAGCGCAGCACAGGAGGCCAGCACTGCTGGGGAACCTGGCGCACACTCCGCAGCTGCTGGCCCTGGTGCTAAGCCCCTTACTGCCTGGAGGTGGCCGGGCCGGCTGGCCGCTCCGAGTGCTGGGCCTGCCAAGCCTACGCCCATCCAGAGCTCTAGCTGGCCCGCAAGTGCAGCACGCAGCTCCGGTTCCCGCCCCGCCTCTCCCTCCACACCTCCGGGCAAGCTGAGGGAGCCGATTCCTGCCACAACCAGCCCAGAGAGGGGCCCTCACAGCGCAGTGGTGGGCTGAAGGGCTCCCCGAGCATGGCCAGAGCGGACGCCGAGGCCGAGGAGGCGCCAAGAGCCAGCAAGGGCTGCGAGGGCTGCCAGCACGCTATCACCTCTCAATACTATGGTGAGTCCGTTACATTAATGGAAAAAGGTTTTCATGTATTTTAGTTCTTCTGATAAATGATTGGGAAACCAGCAAGTTCAGACACTTTGCATTTATTTTCAGAAAGCTGCAGGTGCTAAGAATGCTGTTGAATGTATGAATGGAAATGTAAGAGTCCTTTATTAATACTATCCTAACTGTTCTTTGCTTAACAGCATTTCAGGGTCTTTTAAGTATTACTAAACTTTTGAAGACAGCATAATGTCATATGATCTGAAATGCTTTAGCCATCCTCTTCTTTTTGCCATGTAAGTGCAAGTGTAGTTGGAAGGATACTGGAATAAATGTTACACAAATTAATATATGGCAATCCTATTTGTATGTTAGTATTTTAATACAACTGTAAATAGATTTTCAAATCTTTCAAGCAGCTTTGAAACTTAGAAGGAACCCTCACAAAAATGAGACAAATCAGTCTGTATTTATTAAGTGCTATTAATGGAATTACTTCCAATTCATGGCAATACTTCAATAGCATAGACAAACTATGGATATACAGCTCAACAAACTTACAAGATGCAAATCTTCTATAGAGAGACATCTGAACAGACTCACCAGAAGTAAAGATTCTTTCTCATTTTCTGAAAATACATTCTTGGGAAAGTATGTTTAAAACAAGATCTTTACATTGAAGGAAATGTTAAGTACTTGAAAACAGAAAATAATATGAGAAAGTTGAAGTTGGGTAACCGAACTGCTAACTGACATTTTTGCCCCATCTTTGCTCTTTTTCTCCTAAAATCGTTTTTATCCTGTCACCAGAGTGATTTATATAACATGAATACATAACTACTAATTTTCCCAGTGTGTTTGAGGACTTATTTTGTTCTAACCAGTGGTCTCTGTCTTATTGAATCTTAAATTCTTGGGATTGTATGTTTATTACAGCTTTAAACTTTTGTGTAATTCTATTACCTACTGAATTCCTTTATATTGCCATCAAAATCATTGCATTCTGGACACTTTCAAGATTTTTTGTTTTACAACATCACCCCAATCTGTTATTACTCCCCATTACTCTTTATGCTATCACAAATACGCTTTTTTGGACTTCTTGAGAGTTATTCTTCCTGGCGTATGTCTCACAAATAACAATTTATGCTTCACAAACAGCTTAGATTTTACATTTTCTTCTTCTCTGTATATTGTCAGTATTTTGTCCTCATTGTACCACGTATTAATCTGTTGATTGTTAAATTGTCTTTAGTGCATATTTAAATTTTCCTAGTTGCTTTTGTTTCTGTTACATCTAGCACACTTCCTGGTACATAGCAGAAAGTACATTTTGGTTCACAGTTATATTTTCATATTTTAAGTTTTGGTAGAAACTGAAAATTACTTTTGGCTTTTGTAATGGTTTTGTAGGTATGGAAATAATTTTGACTTAGGTATAGTAATCTATGACAAATTCTTTTTACCCATAGTTTTCAAGCACAACAACAGGTTATTTCTATAGATATTATTTCTAAATTACTTCATCTAACATATCTTATTGTCTAAGAATAAATAAAAATGTAATAATCACACAAAAATTAAAAAGTGAAATAAAGGAAGTACTTAGAGGTTTCAGAGGGAATGAACAGTTTAAGAAACTATGGCTGACTTCCGAATTGTGGGAAGGAAGCAGTCATGCGCAAATCTGGGGAACATATTTTGGTCCCAGAAATAACAAAAGAAGTCCCAAAGTTGAAACGACTGGCTATGTGACTGCAAGAGGTCTTGGAAAGGATTTAAGATCTTTCCCCAAATAACAAATCAATGTAATTTTTAAATCCAATTTTTGCTGACATTTTTTCAAAAATCACCTTAGCCTATGGAAAAGGTTAAACTGAAGCAAGTTATTATGAAATTCATTAGTTCATTTAAGCATTTCTGAGAAATAACAGAAGTGTTCTATTAAAAGTCATTTATTAGGGACACTTTTAAGGCAAGATAAGAAATGAGTAAGGCAAAAAACATGAATGAAACCAAACAAGTATCACATTTACAGAAACAGAATTAGAGTAAATATATAATTGTAAATCATATTAAGACATTTTATGTAAATGTTAGCAGAAGAAACAAGAAACAATTCATAACGAATAATGTGGCTAATCACTTTGAATAAATAATCTTATTTTTTTAGATGACACATTATTACATATACCCGTGGGACACCAAAACAATTAAATAAGTGATGTGAATACAAATATGAAGTAGATTATATTTTGTAAAAAAGAGATGTGCTGCATTATCCCATAGAATGTGTGATGGGTTAATTTTTTTGAGGTGATTTTTTAATACTGGAAAACTTTTCAAAGAATTTGAGTAATAGAATTTGTGTTTGATCCTTTAATGGAAAGCATGTGATCAGTAAATGTCTCAAATTTGGCATTGAGAAAGACATGGTCATTTCAGGAGAAAAAGGTCTATTTGCTTTGGGAGAAAGCATCTAGAACTGAAATATAGTGGATGCAAAAATATTTGTAAAATGTGGGTTAAATTTGACAATGTTATTGATAGGATACTTAATACTTTTAGTCTTTGAATGGAAAACCAATAAAAGTAAAGCAATTCAACAAATTATCTTTTCAAAGTGATGGTAGGTGGAGATCATCACCTTCTTGGAGCAACAGCAGCTCTTCAGGAAGTCTAAGATCTGCCAGAGGAGGTAGTAGAGGAACAAGCGGGTTGCATCCCTCATGTGAAGGACTCTTGGGTCATGTTTTAAAATATAAGGATGGAACCATAGGACTGAAAGTCATTAAGTTGAAGATATCAAAATTTCTCAATTTAATTTACTTCCTTTATGTTCAGGAAATTAACTTACTGATAATTAGCAAAATTATTTGTAAGTACTAAAGATGTATTATAAGAATGATTAAAATAATATGAAAATTTCATTTTAAAATCTTAATTACTTTGCATTGAAATAACACACATTTAAAACCAAATTAAGTATTTTAATGTTGATTGTTTGTACTCAACAGGTTTTCTGTAGAATTCATTTACATTCATTACGCTTTAGAGTTTCTTACTTTTGGGCCTAGAACTTCGTATAAAATGTATTATCAAAATACAATAGAATCTTGAAAACCTTCCAACAAGAAATAAGTAAGTCATTATTTTAGGATTGGTCCTGCAATATTTATTATTTGTGTATACACATGTAAGTATCTATACAAATATATTCCTTTACCATTTTGATATGCATAATTTGCACATTGGCCTGCCATAAATCATTTTGCATTTAAGAAATCTATAACTTCAGCTTCTCAAGAGTCTGTGATTCAGGAAAAGTCTAAAAACCACTGCTTCACAAATATATTAGTATCTTTCTTTGCTGGAGGATGAGTCACTGAAAATGGTATTTATGGATGATTTACTCAATAGGAATGAGGGGTCAATTTTTACTTAAAAAATCCATGTATTAAAAAAACTGGTTCAATTATATTATCTATTAACCAACCTTCAAAAGTCTAATATTTAATTTCAGTTTTAATAACCAGATGTATAATTCATTGGATATGCTTTCTCAAGTTAAAATTGCAGTGTTTGCTCCATTTTAAGGTACATAGCTTCATAGTATTTTTTTTCTCAATTGATCTTGAGAGTGAAGATTAATACTACTCTGCCATGTAATGAAAATATGCATTTCCTTACCTGTGACACCACCAGGGCATTAGAATATATCTACATTTTGTAGATATATGAAATTTTTTTTATTATTTAATGTGCAATTCTTAAAGATTAAAATTGAGTATAGGCTAAGCTAAAAATTAATATTTCATAATGAATTTGTAAGAACTGTATCATTCTTTTACAGATAATGTATTTTTACATTTTACAGATAATGTATTTTTCTGAGATGTAATTTTTTGATTTTGTAAATATTTGAGTTTCTTTGAATGGAATTTGTTGTACCCTTATGATATATTTTAAGCTTTCCTCATACCAGAATTTTATGTATCATTTTTCTCTTAATATATTTTTTCTTTATCTAGACTGTATTTGTATATTTAACTGGTAGATTTTTGCTCTCTCTTCACTCTGCATTTATCCCACATCTCTCTCTTACACCAATATGAAATGTGTCTTGTGTTATGTTTTAGATTTTCCTCTGTTGCCAGGCTGGAATGCGGTGGCACGATCTCAGCTCACTGCAACCTCTGCCTCCCTGGTTCCAGTGATTCTCCTGCCTCAGACTCATGTATAGTTGGGACTGCGGTTGCATGCCAAGAGGCCCAGTTAATTTTTGTATTTTCAGTAGAGATGAAGTTACACCATTTTGCCCAGGATGGTCTTGCTCTCTTGACCTCATGATCAGCCCAACTCAGCCTCCCAAAGTGCTGGGATTACAGGAGTGAGCCACCCCACCCAGCCATACTCTAGGTTTTCTAAATGAACTTTTTTTGTTTGTATTGCACTAATGTGGTATAGAAATACTAAATTTTATTAGTTTAAACAAATGGGAATTTGTAAGATTATCATATTTAGGAAATATTTATAAACAACTAAAACTTAGCCATTTAAGACACAGCAAGTTACTTAACTGAAAAGATTTTTTTTTAAACACAGAAGATGGTGGATACACTCTTGATCTCAACGTGACTCCTTATAGGGGAACATTTCCAGTTAAAAAAGGTCCATCTTCAAGAAGTAGAGATCCTCTTCCTAAAAAATCTGCTCCTTCTGGGATGGGCCTGGTGGCTCATGCCTGTAATCCCAAGACTTTGGGAGGCCTAGGTGGGCAGAACATGAGGTCAGGAGACCGAGACCATCCTTGCTAACATGGCGAAACTCCACCTCTACTAAAAATAAAAATAAAATAATAAAAAAAAATTAGCTGGGTGTGGTGGTGGGCGCCTGTAGTCCCAGCTACTTGGGAGGCTGAGGCAGGAGAAGGGCATGAACCTGGGAGGTGGAGCTTGCAGTGAGCTGAGATTCTGGACTGCACTCCAGCCTGGGTGTCAGAGCAAGACTCCGTCTCAAAAAAGAAGAAAAAAATCTGCTCCTTCTACTGTGGCAAGAAGCAATAGTGGGATGGGAGGCCAAGGTAAATGCTACCTGATAGAAGACAGTTGTTTTTGTATGACTAAAAATGAGCTATTTTAATTGGCTGCTTAACTTTTACTTTAAGAAACAAAATAGTAGTGACATACACATGGACATACTTACTGATTGAGAGCTTTTATTTTATTTTATTTATTTATTTTTTTATTATTATAATTTAAGTTTTAGGGTACATGTGCACATTGTGCAGGTTAGTTACATACGTATACATGTGCCATGCTGGTGTGCTGCACCCACTAACTCGTCATCTAGCATTAGGTATATCTCCCAGTGCTATCCCTCACCCCTCCCCCCAGCCCACCACAGTCCCCAGAGTGTGATGTTCCCCTTCCTGTGTCCATGTGATCTCATTGTTCAATTCCCACCTATGAGTGAGAATATGCGGTATTTGGTTTTTTGTTCTTGTGATAGTTTACTGAGAATGATGATTTCCAATTTCATCCATGTCACTACAAAGGACATGAACTCATCATTTTTTATGGCTGCATAGTATTCCATGGTGTATATGTGCCACATTTTCTTAATCCAGTCTATCATTGTTGGACATTTGGGTTGGTTCCAAGTATTTGCTATTGTGAATAATGCCGCAATAAATATACATGTGCATGTGTCTTTATAGCAGCATGATTTATAGTCCTTTGGGTATATACCCAGTAATGGGATGGCTGGGTCAAATGGTATTTCTAGTTCTAGATCCCTGAGGAATCGCCACATTGACTTCCACAATGGTTGAACTAGTTTACAGTCCCAGGAACAGTGTAAAAGTGTTCCTATTTCTCCACATCCTCTCCAGCACCTGTTGTTTCCTGACGTTTTAATGATTGCCATTCTAACTGGTGTGAGATGGTATCTCATTGTGGTTTTGATTTGCATTTCTCTGATGGCCAGTGATGGTGAGCATTTTTTCAAGTGTTTTTTGGCTGCCTAAATGTCTTATTTTGAAAAGTGTCTGTTCATGTCCTTCGCTCACTTTTTGATGGGGTTGTTTGTTTTTTTTTCTTGTAAATTGGTTTCAGTTCATTGTAGATTCTGGATATTAGCCCTTTGTCAGATGAGTAGGTTGCAAAAATTGTCTCCCATTTTGTAGGTTGCTCTTCACTCTGATGGTAGTTTCTTTTGCTGTGCAGAAGCTCTTTAGTTTAATTAGATCCCATTTGTCAATTTTGGCTTTTGTTGTCATTGCTTTTGGTGTTTTAAACATGAAGTCCTTGCCCATGACTATGTCCTGAATGGTAATGCCTAGGTTTTCTTCTAGGGTTTTTATGGTTTTAGGTCTAACATTTAAGTCTTTAATCCGTCTTGAATTGATTTTTTATAAGGTGTAAGGAAGGGATCCAGTTTCAGCTTTTTACATATGTCTAGCCAGTTTTCCCAGCACCATTTATTAAATAGGGAATCCTTTCCCCATTGCTTGTTTTTCTCAGGTTTGTCAAAGATCAGGTAGTTATAGATATGCGGCTTTATTTCTGAGGGCTCTGTTCTGTTCCACTGATCTATATCTCTGTTTTGGTACCAGTACAATGCTGTTTTGGTTACTGTAGCCTTGTAGTATAGTTTGAAGTCAGGTAGTTTGATGCCTCCAGCTTTGTTCTTTTGGCTTAGGATTGACTTGGTGACGTGGGCTCTTTTTTGGTTCCATATGAACTTTAAAGTAGTTTTTTCCAATTCTGTGAAGAAAGGCATTGGTAGCTTGATGGCGATGGCATTGAATCTGTAAATTACCTTGGGCAGTATGGCCATTTTCATGATATTGATTCTTCCTACCCATGAGCATGGAATGTTCTTCCATTTGTTTGTATCCTCTTTTATTTCCTTGAGCGCGGTTTGTAGTTCTCCTTGAAGTGGTCCTGCACATCCCTTGTAAGTTGGATTCCTAGGTATTTTATTCTCTTTGAAGCAATTGTGAATGGGAGTTCACTCATGATTTGGATCTCTGTTTGTCTGTTGTTGGTGTATAGGAATGCTTGTGATTTTTGCACATTGATTTTGTATCCTGAGACTTTGCTGAAGTTGCTTATCAGCTTAAGGAGATTTTGGGCTGAGACAATGGGGTTTTCTAGATATACAATCATGTCATCTGCAAACAGGGACAATTTGACTTCCTCTTTTCCTAATTGAATACCCTTTATTTCCTTCTCCTGCCTAATTGCCCTGGCCAGAACTTCCAACACTATGTTGAATAGGAGTGGTGAGAGAGAGCATCCCTGTCTTGTGCCAGTTTTCAAAGGGAATGCTTCCAGTTTTTGCCCATTCAGTATGATATTGGCTGTGGGTTTGCAATAGATAGCTCTTCTCATTTTGAAATATGTCCCATCAATACCTAATTTATGGAGAGTTTTTAGCATGAAGGGTTGTTGAATTTTGTCAAAGGCCTTTTCTGCATCTGTTGAGATAATCATGTGGTTTTTGTCTTTGGCTCTGTTTATATGCTGGATTACATTTATTGATTTGCATATATTGAACCAGCTTTGCATCCCAGGGATGAAGCCCACTTGATCATGGTGGATAAGCTTTTTGATATGCTGCTGGATTCTGTTTGCCAGTATTTTATTGAGGATTTTTGCATCAATGTTCATCAAGGATATTGGTCTAAAATTCTCTTTTTCGGTTGTGTCTCTGCCTGGCTTTGGTATCAGAATGATGCTGGCCTCATAAAATGAGTTAAGGAGGATTCCCTCTTTTTCTATTGATTGGAATAGTTTCAGAAGGAATGGTAGCAGTTCCTCCTTGTACCTCTGGTAGAATTCGGCTGTGAATCCATCTGGTCCTGGACTCTTTTTGGTTGGTAAGCTATTGATTATTGCCACAATTTCAGATCCTGTTATTGGTCTATTCAGAGATTCAACTTCTTCCTGGTTTAGTCTTGGGAGAGTGTATGTGTCAAGGAATTTATCCATTTCTTCTAGATTTTCTAGTTTATTTGCGTAGAGGTGTTTGTAGTATTCTCTGATGGTAGTTTGTATTTCTGTGGGATCAGTGGTGATATCCCCTTTATCATTATTTATTGCATCTATTTGATTCTTCTCTCTTTTTTTCTTTATTAGTCTTGCTAGCGGTCTATCAATTTTGTTGATCCTTTCAAAAAACCAGCTCCTGGATTCATTAATTTTTTGAAGGGTTTTTTGTGCCTCCATTTCCTTCAGTTCTGCTCTGATTTTAGTTATTTCTTGCCTTCTGCTAGCTTTTGACTGTGTTTGCTCTTGCTTTTCTAGTTCTTTTAATTGTGATGTTAGGGTGTCAATTTTGGATCTTTCCTGCTTTCTCTTGTGGGCATTTAGTGCTATAAATTTCCCTCTACACACTGCTTTGAATGCGTCCCAGAGATTCTGGTATGTTGTGTCTTTGTTCTCCTTGGTTTCAAAGAACATCTTTCTTTCTGCCTTCATTTCGTTATGTACCCAGTAGTCATTCAGGAGCAGGTTGTTCAGTTTCCATGTAGTTGAGTGGTTTTGAGTGAGATTCTTAATCCTGAGTTCTAGTTTGATTGCACTGTGGTCTGAGAGATAGTTTTTTATAATTTGTGTTCTTTTACATTTGCTGCGGAGAGCTTTACTTCCAAGTATGTGGTCAATTTTGGAATTAGGTGTGGTGTGGTGCTGAAAAAAATGTATATTCTGTTGATTTGGGGTGGAGAGTTCTGTAGATGTGTATTAGGTCTGCTTGGTGCAGAGCTGAGTTCAATTCCTGGGTATCCTTGTTGACTTTCTGTCTCGTTGATCTGTCTAATGTTGACAGTGGGGTGTTAAAGTCTCCCATTATTAATGTGTGGGAGTCTAAGTCTCTTTGTAGGTCACTCAGGACTTGCTTAATGAATCTTGGTGCTCCTGTATTGGGTGCATATATATTTAGGATAGTTAGCTCTTCTTGTTGAGTTGATCCCTTTACCATTATGTAATGGCCTTCTTTGTCTCTTTTGATCTTTGTTGGTTTAAAGTCTGTTTTATCAGAGAGTAGGATTGCAACCCCTGCCTTTTTTGTTTTCCATTTGCTTGGTAGATCTTCCTCCATCCTTTAATTTTGAGCCTATGTGAGAATCTGCACGTGAGATGGGTTTCCTGAATACAGCACACTGATGGGTCTTGACTCTTTATCCAATTTGCCAGTCTGTGTCTTTTAATTGGAGCATTTAGTCCATTTACATTTAAAGTTAATAGTGTTATGTGTGAATTTGATCCTGTCATTATGATGTTAGCTGGTTATTTTGCTCGTTAGTTGATGCAGTTTATTCCTAGTCTCGATGGTCATTACATTTTGGCATGATTTTGCAGTGGCTGGTAACGGTTGTTCCTTTCTATGTTTAGTGCTTCCTTCAGGAGCTCTTTTAGGGCAGGCCTGGTGGTGACAAAATCTCTCAGCATTTGCTTGTCTGTAAAGTATTTTATTTCTCCTTCACTTATGAAGCTTAGTTTGGCTGAATATGAAATTCTGGGTTGAAAATTGTTTTCTTTAAGAATGTTGAATATTGGCCCCCACTCTCTTCTGGCTTGTAGGGTTTCTGCCGAGAGATCTGCTGTTAGTCTGATGGGCTTCCCTTTGAGGGTAACCCGACCTTTCTCTCTGGCTGCCCTTAACATTTTTTCCTTCATTTCAACTTTGGTGAATCTGACAATTACGTGTCTTGGAGTTGCTCTTCTCAAGGAGTATCTTTGTGGTGCTCTCTGTATTTCCTGAATCTGAATGTTGGCCTGCCTTGCTAGATTGGGGAAATTCTCCTGGATAATATCCTGCAGAGTGTTTTCCAACTTGGTTCCATTCTCCCCATCACTTTCATGTACACCAATCAGACGTAGATTTGGTCTTTTCCACATAGTCCCATATTTCTTGGAGGCTTTGCTCGTTTCTTTTTATTCTTTTTTCTCTAAACTTTCCTTCTCGCTTCATTTCATTCATTTCATCTTCCATTCCTGATACCCTTTCTTCCACTTGATCACCTCGGCTCCTGAGGCTTCTGCATTCTTCACGTAGTTCTCGAGCCTTGGTTTTCAGCTCCATCAGCTCCTTTAAGCACTTCTCTGTATTGGTTATTCTAGTTATACATTCTTCTAAATTTTTTTCAAAGTTTTCAACTTCTTTGCCTTTGGTTTGAATGTCTTCCTGTAGCTCAGAGTAATTTGATCGTCTGAAGCCTTCTTCTCTCAGCTTGTCAAAGTCATTCTCCATCCAGCTTTGTTCCATTGCTGGTGAGGAGCTGCATTCCTTTGGAGGAGGAGAGGCGCTCTGATTTTTAGAGTTTCCAGTTTTTCTATTCTGTTTTTTCCCCATCTTTGTGGTTTTATCTACTTTTGGTCTTTGATGATGGTGATGTACAGATGGGTTTTTGGTGTGGATGTCCTTTCTGTTTGTTAGTTTTCCTTCTAACAGACAGGACCCTCAGCTGCAGGTCTGTTGGAGTACCCTGCAGTGTGAGGTGTCAGTGTGCCCCTGCTGGAGGGTGCCTCCCAGTTAGGCTGCTCGGGGGTCAGGGGTCAGGGACCCACTTGAGGAGGCAGTCTGCCTCTTCTCAGATCTCCAGCTGGGTACTGGGAGAACCACTGCTCTCTTCAAAGCTGTCAGACAGGGACATTTAAGTCTGCAGAGGTTACTGCTGTCTTTTTGTTTGTCTGTGCCCTGCCCCCAGAGGTGGAGCCTACAGATGCAGGCAGGCCTCCTTGAGCTGTGGTGGGCTCCACCCAGTTCGAGCTTCCTGGCTGCTTTGTTTACCTAAGCAAGCCTGGGCAATGGTGGGTGCCCCTCCCCCAGCCTCGCTGCTGCCTTGCAGTTTGATTTCAGACTGCTGTGCTAGTAATCAGCGAGACTCCGTGGGGTAGGACCCTCCGAGCCAGATGCGGGATATAATCTGGTGGTGCGCCGTTTTTTAAGCCCGTCGGAAAAGCACAGTATTCCGGTGGGAGTGACCCGATTCTCCAGGTACCGTCCGTCACCCCTTTCTTTGATTAGGAAAGGGAACTCCCTGACCCCTTGTGCTTCCTGAGTGAGGCAATGCCTCACCCTGCTTCGGCTCGCGCTCGGTGCACACACCCACTGACCTGCGCCCACTGTCTGGCACTCCCTAGCGAGATGAACCCGGTACCTCAGATGGAAATGCAGAAATCACCCGTCTTCTGCGTCGCTCATGCTGGGAGCTGTAGACTGGAGCTCTTCCTATTCGGCCATCTTCGATTGATAGCTTTTATTGTAGTTTATGTCTCACTAGGTTAATTTCAGATTCATGATGAGGAAATACTTGAGCTCCTAATTGTAGATCAAAGAAGTTATTACACTGAGGCAAACATTAGTTTTCATCCTGTATTTGCTAGAGAATTCCTCTTTATTTTTCTTGAAGTTCCTGGTAGTTTTCTTTGATGTTAGTCTTCTTAGTCTAATGAATTATTCCATTACCTAGGTCCCTTGGTACTTGTCCCCCAGTGTGCCAATCTAAAAATTGTTTGTTCAGTTTCTTTGTTGGGTTGGAGTCTTGTTCTCAGCAGGTCAGAGTGTGTTGGTGAGATGATAGCTCACTATGACCTCAAATTCCTGGTCTCAAGCAATTCTCGTGTTTCACCCTCCTGCATTGCTGTGCCTACAAGTGTGCACCACCACACATAGCTAAATTTGTTTTTCTTTTTTCTATATTTTTGTAGAGATAGGATCTCATTGCATTGTCATAGCTGATGTGAAACCTCTGGGCTCAAGCTGTCCAGCTGCCTCAGCCTTCCACGCCGGTTCACAGTGTGAGCCATTGCACCTGTCCATCCAGGTTCTGAGACCTGAATGATACTTATGCGCATGGCATTCTTACTGGGTATGTGAAGATACTAAGAACTAAAAGAGCATTTTGTAGATAAGCAATCACTGGGCTTAAATAAAATTTAATAATAATATTAATGCTTGAAAGGTACACTTGAAGGAGTCCAGCATTTTTAAGTTAAGAGCATGCCAAAAAAGTGCAGAGTTGTGAAATATATGGGGGTGTAAATTACTTATTAAGATTGTGCAGGGATGTTGAAACCTTAACACAAGATCCTTAGTGTAGGATTTGAAATTATCTGAGGAGAGAATTTAGTTCTAAGCAGCATGAGGTGTGGACAGTAGGATCGAATAGAAGTAATGTTTTTGAGAAGGGTAAGTGTAAGATTTCAGACTGAAGAGAAGAAAGCAAGACAATAAAGTAACAGTTCTTAGCAAAGAAATTCAAGCAGAACAAATTAAAATTCTTACCTAGCCCTCCATCATAACATGGAGGAAATTCAAAACTGCCATTTTCAATTTTACATTTCACATGTAGAGTATTTGTGAAGTTACGTATTGATTGATTTCAGAATACATATGCCAGCACATTTCCATTAGAAATCTAGCCAGTGAACACATGACAGGTGAAAGACTGACCTCTCCGAATTAGCATGTGAAGAGTATGTTAAAGGAGGAAGTTTTCTATTTTTGAAAGAGGTACAATGTTGTAATGACCCTTTTAAAAGTATTGCTAACTATAGTAAAAGTAAATATTGGCCATCACTAGGAGAGCTGCACTAGTAAACTTCAATTTGTCAACATTTACAATAGAGCCAATTACTTAGAGATAAAGGAGCACTTTTATGTAAAAATTTAGCATACAGTCGTTCAAAGGTAGCAATATTTGTGTGTGTGTGGTGGATTGAACAACATGGGAAAATTTACCTTCTTCAGCTGAGAAGGGACAACGTATGTAAACTTTATATTCCTAAAGAGTTTGATGGTTTTACATGTTTTCCCTGTGTCATTAGTAGTCATCAGTAATTCATACATATGAAAAGAAAAATAATAGCCAACTAGTTTTTAACAATTAAAAACGAACTTTTACCTAAGAATTAATGTTTGGCTTCAGCTTCATTAGAAGAACTGGTCTTGTGGAGCCATGGTAATATCCAAAGCCATAAGAAATATTTAAGTGTCATGAATGTCTAGTAATTTAGGGAAAGAAGAATAGAGTCATACAAGAAATAATTTTAAAAAGTTGTTTTACAGAAGAAAAAACAGTGTTTCAGATTTTGTGTCCTTTACATAATATTTAATCATTTTAACATTAAATATCCCATGTCACTTGGATGAGAGAATTATGGAGGTCCTCCACACAGAGAGCCAGTCTCTTCCTGGAGAATTGACCTTGTGTCACCAAGAGATGAGGGTTATGCAACTAAGGATAGGTAAAGGAAAAATGGAAAAATAGTTGACTTTTGTTGTGGTGATGAAATTCACATAACAAAATTAAACATTTAAAGATAAATACTTAAGTGGCATTTAATACATTCTGTGTGGTGCAACAACTACGTCCATCTAGTTCTAAAACATTTTCATCACTCCAAACTACAGCTCCACTACCAGTTAAGCAGTTCCTTTCATTTTCTCCCTTCTGTCAGCCACTAGCAAACAACAATCTGTTTTCTGTCTCTGAACTTACCTGTTCTGGACATTTCATGTTAATGGGCCCAAACATTACATGACTTTTTGTAACTGTCAGCTTTCATTTGCATGATGCCATGAAGGTTCATTTACATTGTAGCACTTCTCTCCTTACACAAGCTGTTAGCCCATTATTTTGTTTGGGTTGTTTCCACCACAGTATTTCTATATGCACATATTTGTTTGGGTACACTTATTCAATTCTTGATATATATGAGTGGAATTTCTTGGTCTTACGATAATTGTGTTTATTTTCTTGAGTAAGCACCACATTTCTCCATAGTAGCTGCATCATTTTCCATCCCAACTAGCATTGTATCAGGGATCCAAATTATCTACATCCTCTCAAACACTTGCTACTTCCTGCTTTTTAAAATCTATTTCCATTCCAGTATGTGTGAAGTATGGTATCTCATTTTGGTTTTGAAATGCATTTTCTGAATAACTATTATGATTATTTGTTCCATGTGCTTTTTGAGCATTTACATATTTTATTTGGATAAATATCTATTCAAGCGTTTAACCCTTTATTTTGTTTAAGTTGTAATTTAGTTACGTTTTGAATACTAGAAGTTGATAATTTAAAATGTGTTGCTTTAACTTATGCAAGCAGAATTCATACAAGTTTCCGAGACACCAGGGATGATGCTCCACTGTGTAGAGATTATGGATACCATGATTCTGGTGGTTCTAGTAGGGATGAACAGTCCTCTAGAGGAAATAGGTACTATAATATTTTCTGGTTTTGTCAAAGAGATTTCTTAAGTTGCTCCTGCTGATATTAGCAAACTTTTTTAAATTTAGTGACTGTGATGGCTACAGAGTGGGCCATGGTAGAGATCATTCCGAAAGTCCAAGTGGAAGTTCTTACAGAGATGCATATCAGAGTTATGGTAAGTGTCCAGGTTTGATTTGTAAATTATAGTATTATATTTAATAGACCAGATCATTGCTTTAATAAAATTTTAAGGAAAATCTTAAAGGAAAAATATAACATGTTTAAACACTGAGAATTGCTAACAGTATAATGCATAGTGAATATGTAGGTGAGAACTTCAGTTCATTTTCAGAAAATGTGACTTAATTTTTATTTTAAAATAAACTTTCTTATGCTTCAAAATACAATTCTTATACTTCTTTTAAATAAAATCTTTTGACTATTTCGGGCATAATTAATATGCTGTCAACGGAGACAGAGGAAAGCAGACTTTTCCAAATAGTACTTTAACTGAGACACGCATTAGTGCTACCAATAGAAATGTTTAAATTTAGTTCACTGTAAGTTCCATATTTTATCAACCTTGCAGGGACCTCTCATGGTGCACCACCTGCACGAGAGCCTTGGATGAGTTATGGTGGAAATAGTTGCTCTGATTATAACAGTACATGAGATAGATATGGCAGAAGTCAGGAGAGTTACTCACGGAGCTGTGGTAATTTATATTCCTGTTTTCATGAGCACAATGGCAGGAAGGAATGAAGGAATCTACCTTTTCTGGATAGGGTGCACCCTTCTCCTCGTGAAGGATGTGGTAGCTCAAGTTATGGGGCACTTACAGGAAGTGGTGGGGCAAGCCAAGGTGAAAAAGGAGACTGAAGCAGATATTAAAGGAGATATTAAAAATAATAGTTACCTTGGTACTCAGGAGGCTAAGGCAGGAGAATTGCTTGAACCCAGGAGACAGAGGTTGCAGTGAGCTAAGATCTCGTCACTGCACTCCAGCCTGGGCAACAAAGCGAAACTGTCACACAAAATAAAAAGAGAAAAAGAAAAGAAAATAGTAATTGCATTCCAAAACTTGCTTGCAAATCAAAAATTAAAATGTTATTTCTACATCATTACATGAGTACCACTAAAAAAAATATGTTGATTTTGGGGGAGAGGTAGATCCTAACTTCCTCCATGAATTTTTTGAAAGGTATTAAGATGAAAAGGAATTTTTTCATAGTAATTTCATAATTGTTAATCCTATTTGAAAACTATCTGTTTTGATGATATGGCTGTATTAAAATTTTCAGAATAAAATTATACATGTAATGCATAATGCCTGATTTTATTGCCACACATGCTTAAAAGCAAATTTAATAGGAGATTAAATTGTGATGTTTGTCAAAAATTTTCTTTTGTAGCTTTGAATATAAATAGATACAGAAATCGGCACAGATTACATCTCCCTTGCAAGCTGCACACATTTTCTAATTAGGCTGTGTTTCTCTTTAAAACTCTTTAAAAACTTACGAGCTTTAAAAGTTTGAGAGTCTTCAGAAAGACTGCAAAACTGTCTGCCTCACCATAAAATGTTTATCATTCAAAGGAATCATGTAGGTCAAAGGAAATAATTAGATATCGTTGATACTAAAGTTTAAGACATCCAGAACATTCTTTTTGAAGCATTTTGTGACTGAAAGGGGTAATGGGGATGTAAATATTTTTTCCACCTAAATAAATACTGAACCAGCTATGTTTCATAAGTACATAGCTTAATGAAATTAGGTGTTCCTACTTTAAATAGTGGAAAATAAGTTCTTTTACATGGGAGGTACTCATGTTATTTCCTATAATATTTGACAATGGTTTTTGTTAAGAAATGGTTTAGCAATAACTTCTTACAAATAGAGATTATCTAGAAGGCTTGGGATTTTATCAGTTTTTTTTATTTTTATTTTATTACTTATTTATTTATTTATTTTTAAGACAGAGTCTAGGTTTGTCACCCAAGCTGGGGTGCATTAGCTGAATCTTGGCTCACTGTAACCACTACCTTCTGGGTTCAAGCTATTCTCCTGCCTCTGCATCCTGAGTAACTGGGTTTACAGGTGTGTGCCACCACATTTGGCTAATATTTTTGTATTTCTACTACAGACAGCATTTCACCATGCTGGCCAGAGTGCTCTTAAAATCCTGATTCACCCTCCTCGGCCTCCCAAAGTGCTAGGATTACAAGCCTGGGTCCCCAGGCTCAGACTACCAGATTTAAGTGAATATATGAATAGGAATGCTTTAAATCTCATGGTTTTTGGAAAGTGAAGTGTATAAATGTAAAACAACATCATAAAGTTTCAGATAGGTGGTTGTTTAAAGGTTTAAGA